>NC_000002.12:31950628-32103378 GCF_000001405.40 Homo sapiens
GAGAATCGCTTGAACCTGGGAAGCGGAGGTTGCAGTGAGCTGAGATAACGACACTGTACTCCAGCCTGGGTGACACAGTGAGACTCCATCTCAAAAAAAAAAAAAGAAAAGAAAAATAAAACAATGGAAGTAAAAAATTTAAAAAACAAAAAAATACTTATTCAGACAAATATATAATCCTTGTGCTTATAAAAAATACAAAAGCAAAATAAATAAGGTATTCTTAAAATTTTCCTCAACATTCACAATCTGATCATCAAATTGCTTTTTACTTAGAGTCATCAGCAATCCTTGTTTTTCCATAGTATCGTCCTTCATACCATTAAGAGAATTCATGATTCAACATTTTTTTAAAGTGTTTCTCTGTTGCTTTGGGACTGTCTTCCAAGCTGCTGACATATATCGCCCAAGTCTCAATGCAGTCCCTTTCCTGATCTTACCAAAAGGTATCACTGAATGATGTAACAGACGGTTTCAGAAAACAACCCAGGGATGGTACACCTTCTGTAATTGGTATTTAACTAGTATGTTGACTGAAACATCAAAGGGGTGATGTTGTGTAGTCAGTCATATCAGTAGGATTAACTACCAAATTCACATATGAACAGGCAGTGACAACTATTTTCCAAATGATAATTTTAAGTTGCTACTGACTGGAAAACACATCTCAATTTCAGAAATGAAAAAGTGTGGGAAAACATACATATTAAAATTCATGAAATATACTACCACTATGAAAACCCCACTCACTATGATGTTCTGATATTCTTAATTTCAATGCAGAACAGTGAAAAATTCATCAAAAATCAGCATTTGGGAACCACTGCTTCTCACTACAATGAAAAGTGTTTCCGAGAAGCCTTACCAACTACAAAATCTCACTTAATGGTTTTTTTTTTTTTTTATCTTTTTATTTTTTATTGAGACGGACTCTCACTCTGTCACCCAGGCTGAAGTGCAGTGGCACGATCTCGGCTCACTGCAACCTCCACCTCCCAGGTTCAAGCTATTCTCCTGCCTCAGCCTCCCGAGTAGCTGGGATTATAGGTGCCTGCCACCGCACCCGGCTAATTTTTGTACTTTAGTAGAGATGAGGTTTCACCATCTTGGCCAGGCTGGTCTTGAACTTTTGACTTCATGACCCAACCACCTCAGCATCCCAAAGTGCTGGGATTTACAGGTGTGAGCCACCACGCCCAGCCCCATTTGATTTTAAAAACAAATAACATTTCAGCAGCTTCCTCCAAATCCTTTCTCTCATTACTAATGCTCTACTATGATCACACACTTGGAATTTATTGCTATGCTTTTTACAAAATTCATATCCTATTTTTAGATATATCTCAAAGGATGTTGTTTGTTTTTATGTATCTGATAGGGCTCCTCACACAGAAAATAGCATGCCCTTGGTACAGCACCTTAGGGAGTGCAAGAACTGTCACAGCAAGTCTGATCCAAAACCTATCCAGAGCAGTACTGTATCAAATCAAAACAAATTTTAAAAGTTAAAATTAAAATAAAAATCGCACTGTGAAAAACACCGACTGTTCGCCTTTATATAAACCTCAAAGGTTAGGCCAAATCCATATATCTTGGATTCCTTACTATCTACTAATTTATGTAAATATTTTAAGTATTTATTTACATTTTTGGCTATACTGTATTTCAGAATACAATAGCAGAGGGCAATTAACAATCCCAATAAATAATCTTTAGTGTGTACCAACCACCTCTTAGATTTGGCCAACTGGAAATCACTTACTACTTTTCTGTCCGTTCATATATAGTCTCAAAATTTTCAGAGCTAAAACCAATTCCATTGGCATTTCGTACCCAAAAGAGCTACAAATTTGGAGAATCACAGTATACTTATTCCAGTTCATTTACAAACACCTCATCTGAAAATGGGTTTAGCACTGATTCCTGTAACAGTCCATTAATTTGGATTCTCTCTTCCCACCCCTATTCACTGTTTATAAATCAGTTTCCTAGCTCTGTCAAATGCCACTAAATACTTTGATAATATCTGATTATAGCATCTTATCTAAACTATTTTTAAGATCAAAATATTTATTTTTGCTTGCTATTTTTTCATTAGAAAAAAAGCATGCTCAGTACAGAAAATTTGAGGAATATGTATGAGGAGAACCACAATCCCATAATTACTAAAAAATCGCCAAAATTAATATTTTCCAAATTTCCTTCTAGTCTTTAAGATGATATATAATTCTGGAGCCTACTTTTATTTACATAACATTCTAATATAAGCATTTCCCTGTATTATAAACTCTTCAAAGACACTGTATGATTAAATAATATTTCCTTGTGTGAATGGATCACTGTTTCCTTAAACATTAATATAAAATCACTGGGTTGTTTCCAATTTTTGTGTTATTATAAACAATTCTGTATTATGTATCTATACTTATAAAGCTTTTTCCATATTTAAGATTATTTCTGGCCGGCACGGTGTCTCACACCTGTAATCCCAGCACTTTGGGAGGCCAAAGTGGGCGGATCATGAGGTCAGGAGTTCAAGACCAACCTGGCCAACATGGTGAAACCCCATCTCTACTGAAACTACAAAATTCACTGGGCATGGTGGTCGCACACCTGTAATCCCAGCTACTCAGGAGGCTGAGGCGGGAGAATCGCTGGAACCCAGGAGGCAGAGGTTGCAGTGGGCTGAGATCATGCCATTGCACTCCAGCCTGGGTGATAGAGTGAAACTCCGTCTCAAAAAAAAAAAAAAAAAAACACAATTATTTCCTTTTGAGATTCTCAGAAATGGACTTACTATGTAAATCAGTACGAACTTTCATAAGATTTTTTTTTTTCTTTTTTTGAGACGGAGTCTCGCTCTGTCACCCAGGCTGGAGTGCAGAGGCACGATCTTGGCTCACTGCAACCTCCGCCTCCCGGGTTCAAGCAACTATCCTGCCTCAGTCTCCTGAGTAGCTGAGATTACAGATGTGCACCACCATGTCCAGCTCATTTTTTGTATTTTTAGTAGAGATGGGGTTTCATCATGTTGCTCAGGCTGGTCTTGAACTCCTGACCTCAAATGATCCGCCCACCTTGGCATCCCAAAGTGCTGGGATTACAGGTGTGAGCCACCGTGCCCAGCCCCTTTATAAGATTTTGATACATATATTCAAAATGTTATCCAAAACTGCATCCATTCAAAATGATGCATGACAAGGCCTACTTCACCATAATCTCGCTACTCTCCTTCAAATATTTTGAAAAATTAACTCATTTAACCCATGCTCCCATTTGCTAAAATTAAAATCTAATGTCCCACTCCTCAATGATATTTGGTATTTCAAAATAAATTAAATATTCTGATTTTTTAAAATCAAAGCCATCTTAAATTCTAAGACAAAAGTATTTTGACTTCTAAGATACTTATTTGCTACTTGGGACACATATAGCCACATGATTGTTGAGTCTTCTTGCCAGCCACAAGTTATCCATCACTAACACAGAGGGAACAACTAGTATCTATCTGTCTTCACACAAGACAAACCAATTTCAACACCAAGCTTACTGTGCTGCACTATGGTGTTATTTTAAATTACCCACAATCCTGAAAATGTTTACACGCTCCTGCCTTTAAATCTTTTTAACTAATGGGGTATGATTTTTCATCCTTTTAGAAATCATAATTCTTGGCCAGGCTTTGTGGCTCATGCCTGTAATCCCAGCATTTTGGAAGGCCGAGGTGGGAGGATCACTTGAAGCCAGAAGTTCGTGACCAGCTTGGTCAACATAGTGAGACCCCTGTTTAACATACCAAGACCTTGTCTCTATTCTTGTAAAAATTAATTTTTTTAAAAAAATCATAATTCTTACTCCTATAATAGTCAAAAAGTAGTCTACAGACCAGAATCACGTAATGTGTTTATTTAAGAAAGATCCCAGCCAGGCACAGTGGCTCACTCATGTAATCCCAGCACTTTGGGAGGCCGAGGCAGGCGGATCATCTGAAGTCAGGAGTTCAAAATCAGCCTGACCAACATGGTGAAACTCCGTCTCTACTAAAAAGATAAAAAATTAGCTGGGCATAGTGGTGCATACTTGTAATCTCAACTACTAGGGAGGCTGAGAGAGGAGAATTGCTTGAACCCAGGAGGCGGAGGTTGCAGTAAGCCAAGATCGTGCCATTGCACTCCAGCCTGGGCAATAACAGCGAAACTCTGTTTTGAAAAAAAAAAAAAAGAAAGATCCCTAGGTTTTATCCCAGAGATGTGCCACTACAATCTCTGGAATGGCAACCAGGAATTTTTAACAACCTCTGCAGGAAACTCCATTGCACGTTAAAATGTGAGACTGGGCGCAGTGGCTCATGCATGTAATCCCAGTACTTTGAAAGTCCAAAGAGGGAGGATCACTTGAGCTCAGGAGTTCAAGACCAGCCTGGGCAACATGGTGAAACCCCATCTCCACAAAAAAATACAAAAATTAGCCGGGTGTGGTGGCGCATGCCTGTAGTACTACTCCAGGGCTGAGGCAGGAAGATCGCTTGAGTCCAGGAGGTCAAATCTGCAGTGAGACCCTGTCTCAAAAAAAAAAACAAAAAACAAACAAACAAACGTGAGGCCCACTGCCTTAAAGGAGTTTATTTGCACATGCTATATTCTCAGTGAATGCAGCTAACAGACTCCTGGAAGGTTTATACCTGAGATTTTTCAGTGTAATTGAGAAATCATATAATCTATAAATTAGCAATAAATAAACACATTAATTTTACCTCCAAGCTACTTTGAAGCCTTAAGTAACCCCCTTGTTTCTTAGACTCACTTCAATTAATTCCTCTCCAGCTTTTCCAAATAACACTGATAAGGGAAGAAAATAAAACTCAGACTCTTAGACCCTAGGTGATACTTAAACTCAAAATTATCTTTTAAAATCTTCTGTTTTAGTCCAAAAATTCATGAGAATGTTCTAGTCTAATTGAAAACTATCCATGTTTATTTCTTTTTTTTTCTTTTTTTGTGACAGAGTTTTGCTCTTCTTGCCCAGGCTGGAGTGCAATGGGGCGATCTCGGCTCACTGCAACCTCCACCTCCAGGGTTCAAGTGATTCTCCTGCCTCAGCCTCCCCAGTAGCTGAGATTATAGGCATGCACCACTAGGCCCAACTAATTTTGTATTTTCAGTAAAGACAGGGTTTTACCATGTTGGTCAGGCTTGTCTCAAACTCCTGACCTCAGGTGATCCACTAGCCTCAGCCTCCCAAAGCGCTGGTAGTACAGGCGTGAGCCACCATGCTCGGCCATCCACGTTTATTTCAAAACGCCCCAATATTCCTCCATGCTCCTATTTCCAATTTAAATGAAGGCTTCAAAAACACCATGTTTACCGTCTGACAAAAGGGTCCAGTACTCTAGTGAGGGAAATATAAATCTGGACCATAAAAAGCAACCACCTCAAGTGACACAAATGCTTGAAGTTGAGTCGACAGTACTTCCCTAAAACAGAGCTAAACAGAAATGATTATTTCCTTCCAAATTCAGCTAGCATATTTCTTTTTTCTTCATTTTTTGGAGTTTACAATTAGTCAGTAGTAGTAATCAGGATAATTCAGTACTCAAATCCTAAAACAAAAACATAATCTGTGGAAAAATAAAGTAAGTCTGCCTGACTGGAAAGAATCAGGACTAGGATAACACTTCCCACACAAGGTAGCACTTCTTATGCAATTTCTTTGAAAAAAAAAAAAAGGAGTTTCTTAAGAGAAAATGAAAAGTTAGAATTTTTATTTTTCATATATTTCTACCACAAAACAGATTTGTAAACATTAAGCACTGTCTCACCCTATTCAGTGTGATACTGATTTCCTTCTGTAAGAGCTTTCACTCACAGTTTGATCAGGAGAAGCAGATCAAGCCCAGAGGATGACACCATGTAAAATGTGGTAAGAGAGGCTGTAATGATTGCACATGGGTGAACTGACAGAACAAACAATCTGAAAATTGAATAGTCAAAAATAAACTAGTTAAATAAATTATGGCAGACTCATAAACCAGAATATTAAGCAACCGGAAAACAATGAAGCAAAATTTTATGAACCTCTATGGAACATCTTTTAATTGAGGGGGAAGAACACGCATTATACACAACAGAAGGTACAATACGTTGCCATTTTTGTGTGTGCATATATATCATACATGATTATGTATTGGTTTGTATTTATGTAGAATATCTCTGGAGGAACAAAAGAAATGTGTAGGCCAGACACAGTGGCTCACGCCTCTAATCCCAGCACTTTGGGAGGCCGAGGCAGGCAGATCACAAGGTCAGGAGATGGAGACCATCCTGGCCAACATGGTGAAGCCCCATCTCCACTAAAAATACAAAAATTAACTGGGTGTGGTAGCATGTGCCTGTAGTCCCAGCTACTCGGGAGGCTGAAGCAGGAGAATCACTTGAACCAGGGAGGTGGAGATTGCGGTGAAATGAAATCGTGCCATTGCACTCCAGCCTGGTCAACGAAAGCGAAACTCCGTCTCAAAAAAAAAAAAAAAAAGAAATGTGTAACAGTTACTGCATCCTGAAAAGGGAACAAAGAGAGACACTTTGCTTTTCACTGTATACTCTTTCAGATCGTTTGTATTTTACACTACGTACATGTATTATCTATCAAAAAATTAAGTAATAAAAAATATGGTGCAATCATATAACAGAATACTATGAAGTCATAAACAATGATGCTGTGGGATATGTCTACTGATGTGGAAAAAGGCCTCTGAATGCTAAACCTGGCTAAAAACAAATCATTGTTGAACCTAAGATAATAGCTACATTAACAATCTAGGTTAAAATGCATAAAACCAAACTTTTAAGAATTGCTATTTAACAAATAACATATAGATTACAGTAATTAGATATATGTGGGCCAATGTGACCAAGTTTCCCTATTAGCAAAAAGGAACTTCCTCCTTTTACTTTACTTTCCTAAGTATGATATCCATCACCAAATATCTGGTAGAAAGAAGCAGAGAACATGGAAATACTCTAGAAAAGAACCATCTAGAGAACAGTCAAGACATGAAACACCTTATTAATATCTTTCTTCATAATTCTTCTCTAATGAACAAAATTAACAGTTACAACAGTTTTATTTGTCTAGCAAGGGCTTGAGCTATTCTCCACTCTGACTTCGTCAGCATTTACAGATAATCTAGATAAGTTAAATTGCCTTCTGAAGTAATTAACTATAATGGGATACAATTTTTGGTTTTGGGTATTTGTTGTGGCATGTTGAGGTCTGTTTCCTTCTTTCACTAAGCACTAGTACTGCAAGTGCCAGCTCATCCATCTAAAAAGTTTCTGATTTAGCAACCATAAGATGCACAAAAAAGAATCCCAGCAACCTCTGCCCTTATAACTGGCCAAGAAACATGTCTACTGTGGACTGAGTGATGGGAAATGGGCATGCCAGGTTTCAGATGTGCAGGGGAATAAAAAAAGGTAATCAGATATAACACCCATCACAATAAAAGACTTTCCAGAGGGTTCTGATATTGATAAATTAGGGGGAAAACTAAGTTTGGAAATGAAGGGCACAGTCCATAAAAGTTGAGTTGTATGTGTGTATCCACTCTGCCAAACACTTTGCTTTTAAAGTTGTTGGTGCTTGAGCATGACTGAGGCTCTGACCTTTTCTGATATGATTTCCAGTTCATTCCCTTTGGAATGAACTGCCTGACGCTGAAGCAGACGTGTTAATGTAAAAAAGGTGCCTGGATTGAAGTGGTACCTCTCCAACTAACAGGAAATCATAACAGAAAAGGTCAGAGCCTCAGTCATGCCCAAGCACCAGCAACTTTAAAAGGATTCTACAATGCCATGGCACCTTCTTTTCAACCACAGTCCCCACAAAACTTCTATTTAAGAAATAAGAACCTCTTCCTGCTCTTAGGCCGAATCAGCAAATGAACTAATAACCCATCAACTAACCTCAATTTTGTAAAAGCCACCATCCTCCAAACTGTGTGTGGTGTTTTGTTTTGTTTTGTTTTGTTTCATTTTGTTTTGAGACAAGCTCTGGCTCTATCACCCTGGCCGGAATGCAATGGCACGATCTCAGCTGAGTGCAACCTCCGCTTCCCTGGCTCAAGCCATCCTTCTACCTCAGCCTCCTGAGTAGCTGGGACCACAGGTATGCGACACTACGCCTGGTTAATTTTTTATTTTTAGTAAAGATGGGGTTTCACCATGTTGACCAAGCTGGTCTAAAACTCCTGGGCTCAAGCAATCCATCTGCCTCAGCCTCACAAAGTGCTGGGATTACAGGCATGAGCCACGTGCCCAGCCCAAACTGTGTTAAACAAAGTTAGACTAGAACTGTGTGCCTAAATAAATTGAAGGGGGATAAGAGAAAGAATCAATGATTATTAAAATGGGCCTAGATGAATAATAATACCAGTACCAATAACAAGATCAAGGAAAGCCATGAAGTTTGTTCTAAGATGAAGACTTTGATTTTGGACACACCAAAAGTTATAGGAGACAACAAGGCAACCAGCTGAATATTCCCATTAGTAAGAGTGTGAGCCTTAAGTGCAGGAAAAGGGATCAAGAGATTTCAGAATCATTTAATTAAGGTGGTAAAGACAAAAGAATGCATAAGAGCCATCTGAACGTGGACTGACTGATGATGATGACAATAGAAATGTTAGAAAAAGTGAGTCCTGAGATACAGGTACTTGGGCAGAGAAGTAAGAAGTTGGGCCAATAAGGAAGGGAAAAGAGGTGCAGCTCAAGAGATAAAGAGAAGATACAGTACAAGGAAAGCAAAGAGATGAGATCTTTCATGAAGATTAACAGAATCCAACTCTCTCTAATGAATAAGCACAATGAGAACTGAAAAAAAAAAAGCCAATCAATTGATTTTGGTGATTATGAGAAATTGGGAGCCTTTGAGCAGTTATTTTTCAGGGGTTGCAGGTAAAAGTTGCATTTACAAGTAGTTACAGACAAGATGAGGTACAAGAAAATGGAGAAAGCAAATGAAAACTACTCCAAAAAAAAATGAAGGTAGTTAAACTTCCTATTTCATCACCTCGAGGATCTCCCAATTTGAAGTCTACAGAACCTCAAATAAAATTCATTTACCTTATGAAACACAACCTTGGGCATCAGCAATTGTATTTTTTATACCTCACAACAAAGAAAGCTATCTATTAATGTCACGGGAAAGTCAGTATTCAAGTATCTGACAACATGCTTCTGCAACTGCACTCAAATAGCAAACAACCTGAATCTAAAAGTGCATTTTTTGAAAGATAAATGTTAATCATTTCTGGCCTGGTGTGGTGGTTCATGCCTACAATCCCAGCACTTTGGGAGTCCCAGGAGGGCGGATCACTTGAGGCCAGGAGTTCAAGACCAGCCTGGCTAAAAGTACAAAAATCAGCCGGGTGTGGCGGCGCATGCCTATAGTCCCAGCTACATGGGAGGCTGAGGCATGAGAACTGCTTGGACCTAGGAGGCAGAAGTTGCAGTGAGTCGATATCACGCCACTGCACTGCAGCCTGGGTGATAGAGCAAGATCCTCTCTCAAAAAAAAAAAAAAAATTCTAAAATGTTTTCTGCACATTCACATTAAACAATACAGGCTAAGAATCCTGGAGCTAGCACTACAGTACTCAAGCCATTATTTCAAATTAAAAAGGAGAATGATAATTAAAAATACTAGCATTTGGTGTTGGAAGCATAGCTTTTATCTAAGGACATCAAAGCAACTTTTGAACATCTATTAATTATAGCCTTTCTAAACTATCCTGTTTACTGTAGCAAAACACAAGCATGAAAATAATTACACTGTACCCTGCTAACACACAAAATATGATTAAGAACTATTTGTAACTAATATTCAATAATTACAATAAATTAAGATATAATAACAAAAGTTACTTTGGATAAAGTACTTCAATATGAAAAGTAAAATCTTCTCTATTTATTTATTTATTTAGAGTCTCACTCTATTACCCAGGCTGGAGTGCAGTGGTGTGATCTTGGCTCACTGCAACCTCCACTTCCGGGGTTCAAGCAATTCTTGTGCCTCAGCCACCCAAGTAGCTGGGATTACAGGCACCCACCACCATACCCGGCTAATTTTTGTATTTTTAGTAGAGAGAGTGTTTCCCCATGTTGGTCAGACTGCTCTTGAGCTCCTGACCTCAAGTGATCCGCCCGCCTCAGCCTACCAAAGTGCTAGGATTACAGGTGTGAGCCACCAGGCCTGGCCAAATCTTCTCAATTTAAATTTCAGTAACTGTCATCCAGAAAAATTCAGAAAAGGACCAAATTTTTTTAGTCTATTAAGGAAAAAAGTTTGCTAAGCAAATACTATAAACAAAGTAACAAATGTAAGCAAAGCATATTATTTTCAGCTAATTTAGATATACTTGATGTTAAATTCAAAAAGGAGGCAAGAGGCCAGGTGCAGTGACTCACGCCTGTAAATCCCAGCACTTTGGGAGGCCAAGGCGGACAGATCACTCGAGGTCAGGAGTTCGAGACCAGCCTGGCCAACATGGGGAATCCCCCTCTCTACTGAAAATACAAAAATTAGCTGGGTGTGGCGGCAAGTGCCTATAATCTCAGCTACTCAGGAGGCTGAGGCAGGAGAACTGCTTGAACCTGGGAGGCAGAGGTTGTAGTGAGCGAGATCACACCATTGCACTCTAGCCTGGGTGATAAAGGAAGGCTCCATCAAAAAAAAAGAGGCAACAATATGCCAGAAAAAACTGCAATCTGGGAGGACATGAAAAAAACAGAATTTACAGTGTACCTACAATGTGTCAGGCACACTACTGGGTTCTTTAAAATATGTTATCTTGGGCCAGCCATGGTGGCTCACGCCTATAATCCCAGCACTTTGGGAGGCCTAGGCAGGCGAATTGCTTGAGCTCCGGATTTCAAGACCAGCCTGGGCAACACAGTGAGACTCTGTCTCTATAAAAAATTTAAAAAAAAACAAAAAAAAAACTAGCTAGGCATGGTTACACACACCTATAGCCCCAGCTACTCAGGAAGCTGAGGTGGGAGGATCATTTGTGCCTGGGAGGCAGAGGGTGCAGTGACCCAAGATCGTGCTACTATACTGCAGCCTGGGTGACAAAGTGAGACCCTGACTCAAAAAAAAAAAAAGTTATCCTGGTTAACTGTCACAGTAATCCTATGACATAGTTATTATCTGTAGTTTATAAATAAACCAAAAAAATCAAGTTTCCTCAAGGTCACATGACTAGTAAATGGCAATGCTAAGAATCTGAGCCATTTTAGTCTGGCTCTGAACTCCCACTATAGCATGCTGACGACTCTAAGACCAAGTCATTCCCAATAACTAGATCTGGCCCTCTGTTTCCTTTTCTGTAAAAAAAAAAATGAAGAGGATAAACTCAATTGCGTCTGTAATTCAGTTGTTATACTAAGAGGTAAAATTGTTCAGGTTGATACAAAGAATGGCCAGGAATGGTGGTTTACACCTGTAATCCCACCATTCTGGGAGGCCAAGGCGAGAGGATTGAGTCCAGGAGGTCGAGACCAGCCTGGGCAACACAGTGGTGAAACCCCATCTCTACTAAAAACACAAAAACTTGGCTGGGTGTGGTGGCATGCACCTGTAATCCCAGCTATTCAGAAGGCTGAGGTAGGAGAATCACCTGAGCCTGGGGAAGTCGAGGCTGCAGTGAGCCAAGATCATGCCACTGCACTCCAGCCTGAGTAACCAGAGTGAGACTCTGCCAAAAAAGAAGAAAAGAAAAGAAAGAAGAGAGAGAGAGATAACTATAAACCACGTGTATCCATTTTACTAGGTATGACTCTGTGCTGTAAGTTTTCATTCTATGCTTCTCTCAAGTACTTTATCAGAAACAAACATCAATATGACACTGACAGAGTAAACACCAAAAACCTCCTTCCCAAAAGTGAGAAAAGGCATCTAAAAATTAAGTATAAGATAATGTAATCACTTTTAAGAAATTACACCTTTCCAAATGAAAAAACACTAAAAGTAAAGCTTTGAAAAGTATGAATCTCAAAGTGTTTTCATCATCAAAAGTATCATCAAAGGGCATTCATTGACTGACAACAATATTTAGGGCAGGAAATGTACAAAATGAGCCTGGATGTGACAGTTAATTTTATGTGTTGACTTAACTGGACCAGAGGGTGCCCAGACATTTGGTCAAGCATTTTTCTGGATGTATCTGTGAGAGTATTTCTAGATAAGATTAACATTTCAATCAGCAGACTAAGTAAAGCAGATTATCCTCCCTATGTGGGTAGGCCCCACCTCATCAGTTGAAGGCCTGCCTAAAACAAAAAGGTTGACCCTCCCCCAAGTAAGACAGAACTAATTCCTCCTGACTAAGCCTTCAAGCAACAACATCAGATTTCTTCTGCCTTCACCTTCAAACTGAAATACTGGCTCTTCCTAAGTCTTGAGTCAACCAACCCATCCTCAGTCTCTAACTACACCATTAGCTCTCCCATTTCTTAGGGCTTCAGACTCAAAGTGAAACCGCACCGTCAGCTCTCCTGGGTCTCCAGCTTGCTGACTGCACATCTTGGCACTTGTCAGCCCTCCATAATGGCATGAGTCAATTCCAAATAAATCTCTTTCTATATTGAAGATAAACAGATCTACAGATAGGGATACAGATAGATATAGATACAAATATAGTTATAAAGGTGTAGACACACATACCCTACTGGTTCTGTTTCTCTGAAGGACACTGACTAATACTCCAAGAAGCAAGGAAAGCTAAAATATCTATGACAGGTGAAAACAAAATATTCCCCAGTTACTTTTGGACAATGGTAGGAAACAAATTCATTATTTGGAAAACTGGTAAATAAAAGAAAAAGGTCAAGCATTATTTATCCTTTTTCTATATGAACTGTGTAGGGTTTTTTGGCAGGTGACGGGGGTGTGACCAAATAGTCAAGGTTGGGAAGTATTCCTTTAGATAAGTATTATAGATAATAAATGAAGGTAGAAGGATAAAATATCACCACTTTGCAAGCCCTAATAAATCAATAGATAAAAACAATGTTCATGAATGGCTGCCAATAGCACCACACCAAGAGAGTCAGGCATTCTCTATTTCCTGACATAAAAACAAAAAGCCTGACTGATCAGTTCTCTAAATCTGTGCTGTTCAATACAGGAGTCACTAGCCACATACTGCTACTGGGTACTTGAAATGTGGCTAATACTGAGATGTGCTATAAGTATAAAATACACACCAAATTTCTAAGATTCATACCAAAAAAAGAATGCAATATACTTCATTAATTTCATTGATTATATGTTGAAATAATAACATTGTGGATATACTGGGTCAAATAAAAGTATTATTCAAACCAATTTTACCCGTTTCTTTTCACTTTTTAAAAAAGTATATATGGAAAAATTCAAATTATATATGGCTTAAATTTATGGCTTACGTTATATTAGACAGGAATACTCTAAATCAAATTACCAAATTGTATAAAATACATGAGACAGAAAAACGTTGAACACCATCGCAGCCTCCACGGTATGAGGATGTCTGAAAGTCAAAACCCAGTTTCTTTATACATACACATACACGTACACAAACACACACACAAACACAGTTTTTTTTTTAATGCAAGAAAACGAGAAAGTGAGATAGAGGTGAAATGTGTAGATTAAAGACTTAACAGACATACCAACTAATTAAAATGTATGGGGTCTTACATGAATCTCAAGCAGTTTAAAAAGAAATTATAAAAATCACCGAGTAGGCCGGGTGCGGTGGCTCACGCCTGTAATTCCAGAACTTTGGGAGGCCGAGGCGGGTGGATCACCTGAGGTCAGGAGTTCGAGATCAGCCTGACCAACATGGAGAAACCCCGTCTCTACTAAAAACACAAAAAAAAATTAGCCAGGTGTGGTGGCGCATGGCTGTAATCCCAGCTACTCCAGAGGCTGAAGCAAGAGAATCACTTGCACCTGGGAGGCGGAGGTTGCGGTGAGCCGAGATTCCGCCATTGCACTCCAGCTTGGGCAACAGGAGCGAAACTCCATCTCAAAAAAACAAATAAATAAATAAATAATAAAAATTAAAATTAAAATTAAATAAAAATCACTGAGTAGACAGGAAGGAACTGTTGTTTTTACAGTGATAATAGTATTGTGGTTATGTTTTAAATTTTTACAAAATAGTTTCTTTTTTTATTTGTATTCCCTTCTTTTCACAGGTGTTCAAGTTTCTTTTAGAGCTATATACTGGAATGTCTGCAGATGAAATGATATGGTGAGGCTGGGTGCAGCGGCTCACCCCTGTAATCCCAACACATTGGGAGGTTGAGGCGGGTGGATCACTTGAAGTCAGGAATTTGAGACGAGTCTGGCCAACATAATGAAACCCTGTCTCTACTAAAAATACAAAATTAGTCGGGAGTGGTGGTGCATGCCTATAATCCCAGCTACTTGGGAGGATGAGGCAGGAGAATCGCTTGAACCGGAGAGGCAGAGGTTATAGTGAGCCAGGATCGCACCATTGCACTCCAGCCTGGGCAACAAGGGCGAAACTCCATCAAAAAAAAGAAAGAAAGGAAAGGAAGGGAAGAAAGGGAGGGAAAAAAGGGAGGGAAGGAAGGGAAGAGAAGGGAAGGGAAGAAGGGAAGGAGGGAAGGAGGGACGGAGGGAGGAAGAGAGGGAGGGAATGGTGAGTTCTGTGTCAAAGTAATGTGGTGGGAGAAACTAATGCTGGGAGGCAACTATAAAGGGGTACAGATGAAACAAGTCAGCCATAGGATAATAATCTTGTAAATGGGGTAAATGAGGGTTCATTACAGTGTTCTTTCCACTGTTACAGAACCACAATTTTAGAGTTGGAAAGAATATTATAAATGAGAACAAAGTAAATATAAGGGAAAGAAATGAAGATAAAGCCAGAAATACCTGGGTATGTGACCTAAACAAAACTCTTTTAAGTTTCAGTTTCCTTATCTATAAAAATGAGGATAAAAAGGAATGAGATCATGTCCTTTGCAGGGACATGGATGAAGTTGGAAGCCATCATCCTCAGCAAACTAATGCAAGAACAGAAAACCAAACACTGCATGTTCTCACTTATAAGTAGGAGCTGAACAATGAGAACACATGGACACAGGGAGGGGAACAAACACACTGTGGCCTGTCAGGGGGTTGTGGGAGGGACAGCATTAGGAAAAATAGCTAATGCATGCCGGGCTTAATACCGAGGTGATGGGTTGACAGGTGCAGCAAACCACCATGGCATACGTTTACAACAAACCTGCACATCCTACACATGTACCTTAGAACTTATAATAAAATAAAATTAAAATTTTTAAAATGAGGATAAAACACTTACTTTATATGGAGTGGTTAAGCATTAAATGGAATAACACATATTAAACATATGTTTGCTAAAAGCCAACTCTTTCCACCCTTTCCTAAAGTACTAAACAAACAAGAGCTCAACTGGCCCAATCTCCTCATTCAAAAAGTGAGAAAACTAGCAAAAATTCTCACAAGTCTAAATGCAGTTAGCGCCTCTTTCCAACTACCATCCCTTCATTCCCACATAATACATTACAAAAATGGCTCTGTATACCTCCACTGTTTAAATAGAGACTTATTTTAGGATGAACAGAATTTTACTAAGTTCTCACTTACCAGCCAGTGTCAGTTACCACTACTGGTTATTCGGTGATCTGTCATTAGAGTTTGAAGCAGACACCTTTCTTCTGAAAGATGAATAGTAAGTATGAACTGTCTTTAATAACTATTTGCCATTAAAACTAGGTCTGGCCAGGCGCGGTGGCTCACGCCTATAATCCTAGCCCTTTGGGAGGCCAAGGCAGGGGGATCACCTGAGGTCAGGAGTTCAAGACCATGCTGGCCAACATGAGGAAACCCCCTTTCTACCAAAAATACAAAAATTAGCCAGGCATGGTGGCACGACCTGTAGTCCCAGCTACTTGGAAGGCTGAGGCAGGAAAATCACTTGAACTTCCGCTGAAGCAGAGGTTGCAGTGAGCCCAGATCGCACCACTGCACTCCAGCCTGGGTAACAGAGCAAGACTCTGTCTCAAAAAAAAAAAATGAAAAAAATAAAAAGGGAGATAAAATAAAATCTTTGGAAAAATATTGTATTTATGTTGAAAACAACCTGAGTAAACACTGCCACATTTGTAAATGATGTACACCAATATGCTTTCAGTGATTATTCTGGGATGTCAAATTACGAATACTTTGTCATCTCTATACGTTCAAACTTTTTCTATAATAACCAAGTATTTTTATAATTTAAAAAAGCTTTGTATAAATATAGGATAATACAGGACTTTGTTCTATAAAGGACAGAAATAGTAATCCATACTAAACTGTTTTGTAGTTATTGACATAATTTCATTAAATAAAAATTGCTGTGTGAGAAATATTAATAGGTCCCAATCATTTACCAGTCAATAGTCAGTATTTTATTTTTTTTTTTTTTTTGGAGACGGAGTCTCGCTTTGTTGCCCAGGCTGGAGTGCAGCGGCGCCATCTCGGCTCACTGCAAGCTCCGCCTCCCGGGTTCACACCATTCTCCTGCCTCAGCCTCCTGAGTAGCTGGGATTACAGGTGCCCACCACCACGCCCGGCTAATTTTTTTGTATTTTTTAGTAGAGATGGGGTTTCACCATGTTAGCCAGGATGTCTCGATCTCCTGACCTCGTGATCCGCCTGCCTCAGCCTCCCAAAGTGCTGGGATTACAGGCGTGAGCCACCGCGCCCGGCCAATAGTCAGTAACTATTTTTAATAAAAGTATAATTTTTTCTTTGAGACAGGGTCTTGCTGTGTCACCTGGCCTGGAGTGCAGTGGCATAATTATGACTCACTGCAGCCTTGACCTCCGGGCTCAAGCAATCCTCCCATGTCAGCCTTCCAAGTAACTGGGGACTGCAGGCATGCACCATCACACCTGGCTAATTATTTTTTGTAGAGACAAGGTTTCACGATATTGTCCAAGCTGGTCTCAAACTCCTGGGCTCAAGTGATCCATCCAGCTTGGCCTCCAAAAGTGCTGGGACAACAGGGCATGAGCCACCATGCCCGGCCTAATAAAAGTATAATTTCTTAGTAAAACTTAATAGATTTTTGAAAATGTGTGTTTGTGTTTAGTGGGAGGTTTTTTCCCCACTAAACACAGACATGCATTTTTTAAAAATTGTTTATGTAAAGTACAGAAAGTAGTTATTGTGCAATTATTATAACCTCTATCTTCAAATATTATCTTGGAGAGTCATCTGAGGCCTTGGAAGAATGAGAGACTGACCAACATACTTAGATAATAAGAATCAAAACTCGCAATGATGGGTAAGCATTTTTCTGGAGAAAAAGAAAAATGGAAGTAAAAACTCACAATGGCCAACCAAAAGTCAGGAGTCCTGTGTGTCTCAATCTGTAGGTCAAGAGCCAAATAGAATAGAATTAGCTGCTGTGCTTAATAAAAATTAAGACTCTCCAAAGGCTGACCCAGAAAGACTGAAGCAGAATTTCTGGGAGCGTTCTCAAACCAATGAACATCTGTCTGAGCCAGTTTCCTCATCTATAAAAAAAGGAATGATGAAAATGCTTTGTAGGGGAAATACGGGAATAGGATGCATCTGCAGATCTGAGCTCCTTCTGGCTTCAACTAACACCAAGGGACCCAAAGATGTCTACACCCAAGTGGGGCTGACTGCAAACACTTCCACCATGGAATGGTAGAACTATGTTCAGGAGCTGTCATGCTGATAACCCGACCCAGAATTCCCTAAGTCCTGAACTATTTGCCACTACTAATAGTATGAGTAGATTTCTAGTATTATGGACACCTCCTGGTAGCAAACAGTCCAGTTAATTAATGTGCAGCCTCTGTTCTGTTAGTGACCAAATTGCACAAGGACAAGTCCCCCAAGAAGTGTCAGATTAATTACAAAGGAGGTCTCCTTTTCTTTCAATTGTTTCCCTGACAACAAAACTACTCTTCAGTCCATATCCTTGCATTCCAATCTCCATGCTTTCCCGAAAATTCCTAACATATAAATTAAGTGTTCCGTTTGTTTCACAATTCAATGTCTATTTGTTTGTTTTCATTCAAATTTGTCATTGTTGTCCATCATAGATGGACATCACAGAATTTTAGATAGTAAATATGTTCTCTAAAGAGGACACTTCCATTCCATTTTTAACTCTTTCTTCTCATAAACTAGAAAATACTTTAAAAGTCCTGATGCAGTTTACAGCATATTTATAATAAAATTGTTAATTTTAAAGTAAAAGTTAAAAAAATGGTTGATAAACTAAGAAGTTTAAAATACCAAACAAGTAGGTAAGTAGACTACCATATGTGCATAATATATATTATTAATACTAATAATGTGATTTTAAATAAATGATATGGACAAACCAATTTTCCCAATAATGTCTATTCCATACACAGGAAAATCTAGTCACTATATCCAACTGGCCATTTGATAAGTAAGACTATATTAAATACACAGGAAACTTTCTGGCAGGATTCCTAATCTCCAATATTTCAGCACCAAGTCTCATGTTAGACTTACTGGTAAGTGATTTAAGCAGGCTACAAAGCTATATATATATATATATCCTGCTTTATACATAATATATATACACATATATACATGTGTGATATGTGTGTATATATACACATTATACATATATATGTTACGTGTATATATATACACATGTGTATATATATACGTGTATATACATATATACACGTATATATACATATATGTGTGTGTATACGCATATATATCACACATATGTGTATAATGATCTCATTTTTATAGACAGAAAAAAGTTTAAAAAAGATATTAGGATAACAAGTGACTTATTTCAGCTTTATATTTATCTATACTTTCTAAATCTTTTCTGGGGGTGTGTGTGTGGGTGTGTGTGTGTGTGTGTGTGTGTGTGTGTGTGTGTGTGTGTGTGTGTTTAAGACAGGCTCTCTCTGTTGCCCAGGCTGGAGTGCAATGGCACAATCACTGTAACCTCAAACTCCTGGAAACAAGCAACCCTCCCACCTCAGCCTCCCAAGCACCTGGGACTACAGGGATGCATCACTACACCCAACTAACTTTTTTTTTTTTTTAAGACAAGGGATCTTACTATATTGCCCAGTCTGGTCTCAAGCAATCCTCCCACCTTGGCCCCCCAAAATGCTGGGATTATAGGCGTGAGCCACTGTGCCTGGCCACGGTATTTTCTAAATTTTCTATAACTTACCTGAATTACTTTTGTAATAAATATAACACAAGTTCACTTTTCTCTTTTTTCTTGGCAGGGGACGGGGACAGAATCTTGCTCTCTTGCCCAGGCTGGAGTGCAGTGGCGCCATCTCAGTTCACTGTAACCTCCCCATCCCAGGTTCAAGCAAGTCTCCTGTCTCAGCCTCCTGAGTAGCTGGGATTACAGGCATGCACCATCATACCTTGCTAATTTTTGTATTTTTAGTAGAGATGGGGTTTCACCATGTTGGCCAGGCTGGTCTGAACTCCTGACCTCAAGCAATCCGCCACCTCGGCCTCCCAAAGTGCTGAGATTACAGGAATGAGCCACCGCGCCTGGCCTCTCTTTCGTAATTTTCAGTAGCCCTCTCTCCAGAGGGACAATTCTGCCCCTGTGATCTCACGACAATTTTACGTTTGCTACAGTAATCTTATTATGGTATTAGAAAATGTAGCTTGTTTAAAGGACATAATTCTAATTTAGTTGATCTCAGCCTCGTTTTTATTTTAGCCAACTACTCAAGCAGTTTCATGGTTTTTTATTGAATCAAACATTTATTAAACACCTATTCTATGTTAGACACTGTTATACAACCTGGCTTCCTGATGAGTCTTAGGTTTACTATCTGTTATCATCTTTTTTTTAACCAAACTGTATAGTTCTCATTGACACGCAAAATGCACTATCATTCCCACCAGGATGAAGCAAAAAAAAAAAAGCACAAATGCATACACAAAACACTTTTTATTAATACCACTGACCACTTTAACAACATTGCAGGTTCAAAGATATTCAGCCGGCACGGTGGCTCACGCCTGTAATCCCGGCACTTTGGGAGGCCGAGGTGGGGGGATCACTTGAGGTCAGGAGTTTGAGACCAGCCTGGCCAACGTGGTGAAACCCCGTCTCTACTAAAAATAGACCAATTAGCTGGACATGGTGGCAGGCACCTGAAATCCCAGCTACGTAGGAGGCTGAAACAGGAAAATCACTTGAACCCAGAAGGTGGAGGTTGCAGTGAGCCAAGATCACACCACTGCACTCCAGCCTGGGTGACAGAGCGAGACTCCATCTCAAAATAAAACAAAGATATTTCATATAATTACCTACAAATTAGACCAAAAGAGTTTAACTCTCTCCAAAAGCCACCTTAATATTTTGCTGTTGTTACATTTTCAGATGTTTTAATTTACTCATTGATGCATTCATATGGATCTCTTACCATCTGCAGGATATGTTTGCTGTTAAATTATAAAGATTGTAGGCCCTCTTTCTTAGGCATAAACCTAACATAGGCACAGTCACCCAGAAAAATGTAAGCATAAACCTTTTTTTTTGAAAAAGAGTCTTGCTCTGTTGCCCAAGCTGTTGTACAGTGGTGCAATCATAGCTTACTGCAGTCTCGACCTCCTGGGCTCAAGTGATCCTCCCAACTCAGCCTCCCAACGAGCTAGGACTACAGGCTTGCATCACCATGCCCAGATGATTTGTTTTTAATTTTTTGTAGCCCAGGCTGGTCTTGCACTCCTGGGCTCAAGAGATCCTCCTATTGTGGCCTCCCAAAGTGCTGGGATTATAGGCATGAGTCCCCGTGCCCAGCCTAAACCCTTTATTTTTTATTATTATTTTTAGAGATAGAGTCTTGCTGTGTTGCCCAGGCTGAACTAGAACTCCTAGGCTCAAAAAAACCTTCCACCTCAGCCTTGCAAAGTAGCTGGAACTACAGGCACAAAAACCTAATTTAAAGAAATACAACTAAGGCCGGGCAAGGTGGCTCACGCCAGTAATCCCAGCATTTTGGGAGGCCGAGGTGGGAGGATTACCTGAGGTCAGGAGTTCAAGACCAGCCTGGCCAACATAGTGAAACTCCATCTCTACTAAAAATATAAAACTTAGCCAGGCGTGGTGGCACACACCTATAATCCCAGCTGCTCGGGAGGCTGAGGCAGGAAAATTGCTTGAGCCCAGGAGGCAGAGGTTGCAGTGAGCCAAGATCGTGCCACTGCACTCCATCCTGGCCGTCAGAGCGAGACTCTGTCTCAAAAAAAAAGAAAAGAAAAGAAAAGAAATATAACTAAAACCAAGCATGTGGAAGATTCAATAATATAAAATTATATCAAGCGCCTTATACTACAAGATTCAGAAAGGTGCAGACTAGGAACAGCACTACACAAAATTATATGTGAAATACCTTTTTTTATAATAATCTCTCAAATGTTTCTATAACTGATGTAGCAGAGAGATGGTCTGGTGGTCTGATGAACCTTTCTTTGAACTCATATACAGAAAATCCAGTACAAAGTAACTTTTGGATGTTGTATTACTCATTCGTTTTCAATTCCCCACCTTCTGAAGCAAGTGAAACAAAGCTGGCTGTGTCAAAAACATACCAAATTAAGAAATGATATAACAACAACAAAAAATTAAAAGCTCTACTTAAAAGCCAATTTAATAAAGACATTACTAATTACCTTACAGAAAAGGATAAGAGAATAGTATGGGCCGAATGCAGTGGCTCACCCCCATAATCCCAGCACTTTGGGAGGCCGAGGCAGGTGGATCACTTGAGGTCAGGAGTTCTAGACCAGCCTGGCCAACATGGTGAAACCCCTTCTCTACTAAAAATACCAAAATTAGCCAGGCATAGTAGTGTGCACCTGTAGTCCCAGCTACTCAGGAGGCTGAGACAGGAGAATTGCTTGAGCCCAGGAGATGGAGGTTGCAGTGAGCCAAGATCGTGCTACTGCACTCCAGCCTAGGCAACAGAGTGAGACTCCATCTCAAAAAAAAAGCTAAGACAACCTACAGAATGGGAGGAAATACTTGCAAATCACATACAGGATTAATACCCAGAATATATACAGAACTCTTACAACTCAACAACAAAAGAGACAACCCAATTTTAAAATGGGCATAGGACTTAAATAGACATTTCTCCAAGGAAGAAATACAATGACCAATAAGCACATGAAAAGATGATCATCCTTTTTAGCCATCATGGAAATGTAAATCAAACCACAATGAGCTACCACTTCATACCTACTAGGATGGCTATTTTTAAAAAAGGGAAAATGGCAAGTGACAGCTAAGAGACAGACTAGAATCCTCATATATTGCTGGTAGGACTCTAAAATGGTGCAGTCACTGTGGAAAAGTTTGTCAGTTCCTAAAGATGTTGAACACAGAATTGCCACTGACCCACCAATTCCACTCTTAGGTATATATCTAAAAGAATTAAAAACAGGCTGGGCACAGTGGCTCATGCCTGTAATCCCAGCACTTTGGGAGGCCGAGGTGGGTGGATTACCTGAGGTCAGGAGTTCGAGACCAGCCTGGCCAACATGGTGAAACCCCGTCTCTACTAAAAATACAAAAATTAGCCATGTGTGGTGGCGGGTGCCTGTAATCCCAGCTACTTGGGAGGCTGAGGCAGGAGAATTGCTTGAACCCAGGAGACGGAGGTTGCAGTGAGCCAAGATCATGCCACTGCACTCCAGACTCAGTGACAGAGCAAGACTCTGTCTCGGGAAGAGAAAAAAAAAAAGAATTAAAAGCAGGTATTTAAACAGAGATACTTGTACACAAATACTGATGGCAGCACTATTCACAAAAGCCAAAAGGTGGAACAGTCTTTTGAAATGTCCGTCAGCAGATAAATGGAAAAACAAAATGTGTTATATACATACAATAAAGTATTATTCAGTCATAAAAAAGAATGAAGTACTGATATATGCTACTATGTGAATGAACCTTGAAAGTGCCATGCTAAGTGAAAGAAGCCAGACACAAGAAGTCACATACAATACCATATCATTTATGTAAAATATCCAAAATAGGTAAATCCATAGAAACAGAAAGCAGATTTGTGGTTTATGGGGGATAAGAGGAGGAAAAGGAGAGTGACTGCTTAATAGGGGTTTTCTTTTGGAGTTAGAAAAATGTTCTGAAACTTGATACAGGTGGTAGTTGCACAACATTGTGAATGTATTAAATGTCAATGAAATACACACATTATAATTGCTAATTTGTATTATATGAATTTCACCTCAATAAAATCAACAAAGAAAAAAGACAATTTAGATAAATCTTTTTATAGGAGTTCATAAGTGTGATAAAAATAAAAAATTAGTTAAAGCAGAAACTGCTAATTGTTTCTCGCTCGCTCCCTCCCTCCCTCCCTCCAATCTTTTGTAACAGTTTAATATCATGGATATTCACAAAACATGCTAACTTCCTCTGTAATACAAAAATAGGGGCACTTCCTTTATTCACCATGTTTTTGCCTGATAATCAACAAAGTTAAATCAATTTATGACATCATTTGCAGTTAATAATTTAAATGTGCAACACTTAATGCCAATTACTATAATATACTGGTTGGAAAATCACATTTTCAGTTTTACATTCAAAATATACTTATTTAAGAAAACCAAGGTACTTATCCCTGACAAGATGGTTTATGTAATGAATATTTAAGGTGTTATATACTTTTCCAATGACTCAAATTTGCTTCTAAGTAAAAATTAAAACATTTGCGGCCGGGCACGGTGACTCACGCCTGTAATCCCAGTATTCTGGGGGGTTGAGGCAGGTGGATCACGAGGTCAACAGATGGAGACCATCCTGGCCAACATGGTGAAAACCTGTCTCTACTAAAAACACAAAAATTAGCCGGGCATGGTTGTATGCACCTGTAGTCCCAGCTACTTGGGAGGCTGAGGCAGGAGAACCACTTGAACCCAGGGGGGCCAGGGTTGCGGGGAGGCACAGAGGTTGCAGTGAGCCAAGATTGCGCCATTGCACTTCAGCCTGGGCAACAAGAGTGAAAATACATCTCTAAAAAGACCAAAAAACAAACCAAAAAAAAATTGGTAGTGAAATCATGAAAGTTCTAAGGGGTACTCTGCTGATTATTTTCTTAAGCCATAAGAGGAATACCATGAAAATTTAAAAAAAAATTGGCAGGGCGCAGTGGCTCATGCCTGTAATCCCTGCACTTTGAGAGGCCGAGGCAAGTGGATCACCTGAGGTCAGGAGTTTGAGACCAGCTTGGCCAACATGATGAAACCCCATCTCTACTAAAAATACAAAAAATCAGCTGGACGTGGTGGCAGGCACCTGTAATCCCAGCTACTCGGGAGGCTGAGGCAGGAGAATCGCTTGAAACTGGGAGGCAGAGGTTGCAGTGAGCCAAGATCGTGCCACTGCACTCCAGCCTGGGTGACAAGAACAAAACTCCATCTCAAAAAAACAAACAAATAAATAAATAACGTTTATTCCTACTTAGTCTGCAAAAGGAAAGTAAAACTAATGTAAAAGAATTATTTAAAAAGAAATACACATGCACACCAGTTTGGTAAGTAGGATGATACCTAAATTATGCATTCTCCTGAGACAAAGCTCCTTTAGACAAAACTAGAGTTTGAAGAAAATTCTCATCTCCTGATCTTTGTGACGGTCAGAGGAGTCAGCAGGCAATATATAAACATTTTGGGACTTTTGGGGACCAGTTATGTAAAAGCCCATACTCCTCTTGAACCCATTCTCTATCTCCTAGACACATGGGAGGTGCCACCCAGATCTCAAGAGTACAGCACTTAGCTTCCACATCCATTAGTGTGTACCTAGAAAAAAAGACAGTAGTGTCCTAGATTCATTTCTTCCTAAGAAGCAGAACACTTTAATGATGAGCTAAGAAAGGAGTCTAAACTCTGATACATTTAAATGTGGCAAAAATCAAAAATGCTGAAAATGATGTCCAAATAAGCATTAGTGCTAACAAGTCACATTCCTAAAAATTACTAAAAAATACACTCATATATTAAAAATATAGAGACAATTAAAAAAGAACCCACAATGTCCAGAGTTGGACTGTACATACAAATCACTTTCTCTTCAAGTGGCCCATAAATTATGAATATGAAATTTTAATTCCAACTAAGACTCTTAATATAGTAAATTTCCTTTTTCTTTTCTTTGCTTTTTTGAGACATTCTGACTCTGTCACCCAGGCTGGAATACAGTGGCACAATCTCAGCTCACCGTAACCTCTCCCAGATTCAAGTGATTCTTCTGCCTCAGCCTCCCGAGTAGCTGGGATTCCAGATGTGCACCACCATACCCAGCTAATTTAATTGCAATTACTTTTAATAAATGTTTCCCCTGAGATTAGTACTCCACAACTGAACAATGGATGAGGAAAAGATAAAGTATCAAATGGGGAAGCAAATTCTCACAGTTTAAAATTTTTAAATAGAGTTGGAAGTAGAAAAACACTAACAGCACAAAAAAGCTAAACTTAAATGCTTTCTCCATGTACATTCCAAACTTAGAAAGTATAATTCAGAACTATAAAGAATATATTTTCAGCCAGGCATGGTGGCTCACACCTGTAATCCCAGCACTTTGGAAGGCTGAGGAGGGCAGATGACTTGAAGCCAGGAGTTCGAAACCAGGCAGGCCAACAGGGTGAAACTCCATCTCTACAAAAAATACAAAAATTAGCCAGGCATGGTGGCACATGCCTGTAATCCCAGCTACTCAGGAGGCTGAGGCATGAAAATCACTTGAACCTGGGAGGCAGAGGTTGCAGTGAGCTGAAATCACACCACTGGACTCCAGTCTGGGTGACAGAGCAAGACTGTCTCAAAAAAAAAAAAGAAAGAATATATTTTCAGAACCAATATAAAGTAAGGATAATTAAATATCTCAACTGTCAAGAGAATATTCATTTCTAAAAATTCACATATTACTATGATCATAATTTTTTTGCTATTTTTGCTAATCAATACAAATATAGCTTTTTTTCTTTTAGAGAGTCTTTCATTTCCTGATGAAATTAAACACCAAAATATTTCAAGCAAGAGTATATATTTTCAGATTATAAACGAGATTTATGAGACAGGATGAACAAAATGAAAATGTTAATTAAGCAACATTACTGAGACTGCATATATGGCTTATCCTCTTTACCAGCAAGCAATTATTGAGATCTTTGTGTATATGACACTAACTACAAAAAAGCACCAGCAACAGCCGTTTCCATCAAAAGACCTATCTAGTTGGGTAAACAACTAAATAAAACAAGGTAGGATATATACAGCACCTAATAAAGGATTTAGAGTTCAGAAGAAGGAAAATGTTGGGAAGAAAAAGGGATAAACTAGAAAGCAGAAATAGAGAAGCAGAAGACGGCAGGGTATTTCAAACAGAAAGAAGCCATGAACAAAAGCATAGAAGTGGATATGACAAATTCAGTTCATGAAACAAAAACCTGCATAGTTGAGAAAGGGAAAGCTAGAATAGCTGACCCCTTTAAAACCTAGGTTAAGCAGTTTGCTCATTTTCTGTGTAGACAGACAGTCAATGGGGAGCCACTGAAGGTTTAGGACTTCTCATGCTTGAAAAATATTATTTACAAGAGTAACATTCAATCATGTGCACTGTATAGTTTAAGCAACATGCATGGCTAAAATCTTTAACCTTAAGTCACAATGATGACCGCAGGAAAACAACATCTTTAATTTTACACATTAGAGAATTTTCTTAAAATTATCTTGCTTTTAATTAATTTATTTACTTATTTAATTTATTTATTTATTTTGAGAGAGGTTCTCACTCTGTCACCCAGGCTGGAGTACAGTGGCACGATCTCAGCTCACCACAACCTCTGCCTCCTAGGTACAAGCGATTCTCCTGCCTCAGCCTCCCAAGTAGCTGGGACTACAGGTGTGCGCCACCACTGCCACCGCCACCACCACGCCTGGCTAATTTCTGCATTTTTTGTTAGAGGTGGGATTTCACCATGTTGGCCAGGCTGGTCTCAAACTCTTGACCTCAAATGATTCAGCCTCCCAAAATGATGGGATTACAGGCATGAGCCACCATGCCCAGCATACCCTTACTTTTATTTTACACTATGAAACTTCACAAAATAAAATATGTAGTATGAGTTAAATTATTTTCTAATATTTTATATTCAAGTAAACATACATGGTTAATAATCTAGGATATTGCTTTATTAAAACTTATGCTTTATTAAAACAAACAATATGACATGGTGATTAAGAGCTCCAACTGCAGAGTCAGCTGGTTGAAAAACCAGCACCAACTACATGACTTTGAACAACCCAAGGTTCAGTTTCTTCATATGACCGCTGTATTAAAAGAGAAATGCAGCCAGGCACGGTGGCTCACACCTGTAATCCCAGCACTGTGGTAAGTCAAGGCGGGAGGATCATTTGAGGTCAGGAGTTCGAGATCAGCCTGGCCAACATGGTCAAACTCCATCTCTACTAAAAATACAAAAATTAGCTGGGCGTGGTGGTGGGCACCTGTAATCCCAGCTACTCAGAAGGCTATGGCAGGAGAATCACTTGAACCCAGGAGGAGGAGGTTGCAATGAGCCCGAGATCAGGTCATTGCACTCCACCCTGAGCAAGACAGCAAGACTCTGTCTCAAAAAAAATAAAATAAAAGAGAAATGCAAGTGCAAATGCCTGGCATATAGTAAAGGTTCAAAAAATGTTGGCTATAATTATTAAAGAGAATCCAGAAACTCATGCTGGAGTGCAGTGGCATGATCATCATAGCTCACTGAGCTTACACAATCCTCCCACCTCGGCTTCCCGAGTAGCTAGGACTACAGGCACACGCCACCATGACCGGCTAGTTTTTTAATATTTGGTAGAGATGGGGTCTTGCTGTGTTGCCCATACCCGGCCTCAAGTGATCCTCTCACCTTGGCCTTCCAAAGTGCTGGGGCTGCAGGCTTAAGCCACCGTGCCTGGCCTAAAATGCATATTCTCATTTTGAGCAAAGCCCCAAACACTGGATACCATTAATTTGTCTCCTTGTTATTCAGTATCTTTTTTCTTTTGAAATATATTTTCCCAAGCAACATCTAATAATTTACTTCTATTATGGCCATCTTTACACATTAGGTATGTCTCAAAATTTTTTTCATAAGGCAATACTTTGCCTATGGAATCACATTTTCCCAGATTTTACCATTCTATGAAATGATTATCCATCCCCCCCCAAAAAAAAGTCTTGATGTATTTCACACTGCTATAAAGATACCACTCAAGACTGGGTAATTTATAAAGAAAACAGGTTTAATTGACTCACAGGTCCACATGGCTGGGGAGGTGGCAGAAGGTGAGGGGGAAGCAAGGACCTTCTTCACATGGCATCAGGAGAGAGAAGAGAAAAGCCCAGAAGAGACTGCCATTTATAAAACCATCAGATCTCGTGAGAAATCCCTCACTACGATGAGAACAGCAGAGAGGAAACCAGACCCATGATCCAATCACCTCCCACCAGGTCTCTCCCTCAACGCCTGGGGATTACAATTCAAGATAAGATTTGGGTGGGGACACAATGCCTAACTATATAACTTGATATTAAAATATTAACAATAATCACATATAGGAATCCTAACATTTAATGCAAGAGCTATCCCTAATGTTCATTTTATTTTTCTTTGCTGTCTCTAAAAGTTAACTAATACTAAACTGATCTTTACATGAGGTTTCACACTTATTAATAATTACATATATTAAGTAAAATATATTTAATTCCTGTTTTTCAGAAAATCATCAAAATTTGTGAATCTGCTATGGATAAACAGCAGTGGTGACAGCACAATGTCAATGTACTTAATGCCTTGAACTATACATTTAAAAATGGTTAATAAGGCAAATGTTATGTAATTTTAATCCCAATTTTTTAAAAATAAAAAATAAAGTATTAAAAAACTGTGAGTCTGAATTTTAAAAAACAAAAAGCAAGCTAAAAACACCATGGTACTGGAATGCCATGCCATTGCTTTAGTTGATGATTGTCAGAAAAATCACAATTTAAAGATAGATATTGCTAACTTCTAGTGTTGGCTCCTCTGAACTGTAGCAGGGGCTCGTTTGTACTTATTTTCTACTTCAACTCCCTGTGAAATGTTACTATGTAATTAGTAAATAATTATTGACTGATATGTAGAAACTAGCCATTTATTAATATAACAGATAATGGACAAACTATAGATAGACTATATCCAAGTCCAAATCAGAAACTGTCTTAATTTAAAAAAAAAAAAAAGAAAGAAAAAAACTGTCTTAACTCAGTTATCTAAAAACAGTACTTTTAAATTTAAAAAGAACGGAAACTAATGACTAAATTATATTGATGCCAAAGTTACATTAGCAAGGAAATTTTAAAATATTTTGCCAGGCATGGTGACTCACAACTGTAATCCCAATACTTTGAGGGGATGAGGCAGGCGGATTGCTTGAAGCCATGAGCTGGAGACCAGCCTGGACAATAAAGCAAGACCCCCAACTCTACAGAAAATTTTAAAATTAGCTGGGCGTGGTGACAAACACCTGCATTCCCAGCTACTTGGAAGGCCAAGACAGGAGGACTGCTTGAACCCAGGAGTTGGAGGCTGCAATGAGCTACGATCACACCACTGCACTGCAGCAACTAGGTGACAGAATGAGACCCTGTCTATAAAAATAAATATATAATTTTTAGATTTTTTTTATTTTTAAGTCATTGTTCTTCATTCAATGATTGCTCCATTATAACATTTTTAAATGCATGAGTCAAATTACTTGAACTCTGTCATTTCACATGGCTTCCTATCATAATTAGAATAAAACACAAACTATTTTACCAATCCTATATAAGATGATATAGGATACAGTTTTAGCCTCCTTCTCCAACATTTTTCACTGTATTTCAGCCATACATTCCCTCTAAAAGGAAAACTCTCCCACTGAGAACGTCACGGCGTTTGGGATTTCAATTTAACTTCTACCTGCACAGAAAAGCCACCTCTAAACCCATATCTATAGTAACTTCTAGTCACTTCTGCATTACTTGTTGACCACAGCCAAATGCAGAGGCAAGTAGTACCAAGCATGGTAATATAAGGCATAATATCACAGGACCCTTCCATCTAGCAACAGATGACTAAATCAGGAAGAGCCAGCAGCCAATACGGTAGTCTCAGCAGCAAGAGTTCTATACAAATTAAACGTGGTGACTAGATAAACTAATCAGTGTCCAACTCTTTCCCATCTCCCTCACACAGTTTAAATAGTCAATCGTACACCAATTCAGAAGAAACTGACCTTGAATAACCTAATGTCAAAATAGTAGAGAAGAAGTGTTTATCAGAATCATATACAGAGTTTTAGAAGAAAACAGACAATCCCCATTACTAAAGAAGACTGACTGACTGAACAGATCTGAAGGAGGGCCCCACAGACAGTTCTTACTACAGCCTCTAGTTGAGAACCACAGCAGGAGTAGTTAGAGTAAAGTAGTTAGAGCTCCCTGGTTTCCTCAATGACTGCCCATTTCCTCAACCACTCTCTGTCTTCCTGACACCTTGTTATGCAGCAGTTGGGACTTTTATGTCATTTACCTTCCCATAATAAATCTCCACTACTTAAGGTAACTTAAACCTATCTCTCTGCCTTAAAACCTAAACAATATATTATCTGACTTGTGGCATGAAAGCCATGTATCCAAATGTTAAAAATAATCACCAAACAAATGTTCTTCCTTGCCACATTTGGCCTAATTTTTCTAAAACATTGTGATATTTATTAATCCTATATTCAAACTTCAAATGAAACCACAAACAAGAACCAAGGGAGAAAAGCATTTATTTGCCTTAACAAAATCAACATTTTAGTTAATACAAGGGAAACTCATGTATTTTACTCCCAAGAAAGTTCCCAAAAATTCAAGACTTAACTTCACTCAATTCCAATAAATTTATTTTCCAAACACCCAACCACAGGATCTTGTTTGAAAACCAACAACCAGGGGGAAAGCAACAGACTGCTACAAACAGGCATAATGACACCTAAAAGAAATTATCTATACATACACACATTTTTTTCAAAGAAATAGACTTTTATGCATTTGTCAGACCCATATAACTGAAATCATAAATAATGAACTTTAATGTATGCAAGTTAACCAAACAAAAAAATTTACCAATACGTCAGGATATCCTAGGATGAAATGTAGATGGTGACAAATGAATCTAACAGTATTACAAATACAAGATACAACTGGCCGGGCGCGGTGGCTCATGCCTGTAATCCCAACACTTTGAGAGACCAAGGTGGGTGGATCATGAGGTCAGGAGATTGAGACCATCCTGGCCAACATGGTGAAACCCCATCTCTACTAAAAATACAAAAATTAGCTGGGCTTGGTGGTGGGTGCCTGTAATCCCAGCTACTCGGGAGGCTGAGTCAGGAGAATCGCTTGAACCCAGGAGGCGGAGGTTACAGTGAGCCAAGATCATGCCACTGCACTGCAGCCTGGTGACAGAGGAAGACTCTGTCTTCGAAAAAAAAAAAAGGCCAGACGCGGTGGCTCATGCCTGTAATCCCAGCACTTTGGGAGGCCGAGGCGGGCAGATCACGAGGTCAGAAGTTTGAGACCAGCCTGACCAACGTGGTGAAAGCCCGTCTCTACTAAAAATGCAAAAATTAGCTGGGCATGGAGGTGAACGCCTGTAATCCCAGCTACTCGGGAGGCTGGGGCAGGAGAATCGTTTGAACCCAGGAGGCAGAGGTTGCAGTGAGCAAGATCGCGCCACTGCACTCCAGCCTGGGCAACAGGGCAAGACTCCGTCTCAAAAAAAAAAAAAAAAAAAGATACGTATGAAGTTCAGGAACTTCCCAAAGTTACTTAACTTTGGGAAATGATGCTTTGATTAGAAATTGTAACGCTAAAGGCACAAAAGCTGTATAAAAACTTATACTCTAGCTGGTAAATTTGTTTCAAACAGAGGTATAGGTTAACAGTTCTACACCTGCTTTTCATGTATACTGGCATTGAACAAATAGGTAAAATGAATGGTAGATGGTGGGTGGGAGCCAGGTTTCTCAATGTTGAGGAGAGAAGTTACAGATAAGTACAGGGAAAACAGTAAAACAAGCCCTGTGGTACTGGATTAGAGTTGGAGAAATGAGTACAAACTCATGTTAAGTTTAATATACATAGGCCAGGTGCAGTGGCTCACGCCTGTAATCCCAGCACTTTGGGAGGCCGAGGTGGGTGGATCACTTGATGCCAGGAGTTCAAGACCAGCCTCGCCAGCACGGTGAAACCCCATCTCTACTAAAAAAGAAAAAAAAAAAATACAAACCCACAAAAATTAGCTGGGTGTGGTGATGGGCGCCTGTAGTCCCAGCTACTCGAGAGGCTGAGGCAGGAGAATCGCTTGAACCCAGGAGGCAGAGGTTGTAGTGAGCCAAGATCGTGCCATTGCACTCCAGCCTGGGCAACAGAGCAAGACTCTGCCTAAAAAAAATTTTTTTAAATCTTAATATACATAAAAATGGATAGATACAGAAAGAGATATGTGTGTACATATGCTACTATAAATAAATATATTTCCTGTCTCTGTCCCCTGACAGGACTTAGAAGCAGTGATACCCAGTAGCCATTAACACATTCAATGCCCAAATCTTAGTTTTTTGTTTTTTTTGTTTTTGAGACAGAGTTTCGCTCTTGTTGCCCAGGCCAGAGTGAGGGTGGCACAATCTCGGCTCACTGCGACATCCGCCTTCCGGGTTCAAGCGGTTCTCCTGCCTCAGCCTCCTGAGTAGCTGGGATTACAGGCATGCACCACCATACCCGGCTAATTTTGTATTTTTAGTAGAGACACGGTTTCTCCATGTTGGTCAGGCTGGTCTTGAACTCCTGACCGCAGGTGATCCGCCTGCCTCAGCCACCCAAAGTGCTGGGATTACAGGCGTGAGCCACCGCGCCCGGCCCCAAATCTTTGTTTCTAAATATCATTTCCCAATAAAAGAAAGCAAGGCTCCTTGGAGAAATAGAACATTCTACCCACAGGGCAGGAAAATATAAGATGAGCTTGAAGCATCTTGAAGAAAGCAAGAGAGTGCTTAAAAGTCCAAAGAATGGAACATGCCAAAAGGATTCAGGTACCAACCTAAAAATAATCCCAATAGCTAAGGCTGAAAAATTCTGAGCAACAAAATAGTGTGGGATTGGATTACCTTCCAAAGTACAAAATAAATATACATGAGTCCATACGGATATAAATAAGTTGAGTGGGGGAGGGGCAGAGACAAATCTTCCTTAGAGAAGAACTCAAGTAATGTATGCAAATATTTCCTCATCCAAAGTGTGGGTTGGACTTCAGCGACTCACATCCAAAGAACAGAATACGGCAAAAGGAAGATAGCAACTTTACAACAGACAAACCTGGCAAACACTTACTACCTTAACCAAACGATCAAAGTTAACCTCACCAACATTAATTTAATGTAACCCCAATATATGATGAGGTCATTATACCTCTGTGGTATTCATCCCCAAAACCCGTAACTCCAATCTAATTAAGAGGGGTGGGGAGGAAAAATCAGACAAATCCAAATGAAGGAACATTTCACAAAATGCCTGACAGTGTCTCAAAACTGTCTTGGTCATGAAAAACAAAGAAAAATTAACAATTTGTCACAGATCAGAGAAGACTAAAGACAGGCTCACTAAACACGATGTGGTAACCTGGATAAGATCCTAGAACAGAGAAAGGACATTAGTGGGCTGTGCGCAGTGGCTCACACCTGTAATCTCAGCACTTTGGGAGGCCAAGGCGGGCGATAACGAGGTCAAGAGCCATCCTGGCTAACACGGTGAAACCCCGTCTCTACTAAAAACACAAACAAAAAAATTAGCGAGGCGTGGTGGCGGGCACCTGTAGTCCCAGCCAGTCGGGAGGCTGAGGCAGGAGAATGGTGTGAACCCGGGAGACAGAGCTTGCGGTGAGCCAAGATTGTGCCGCTGCACTCCAGCCTGGGCGACAGAGCGAGACTCCGTCTCAAACCAAAAAAAAAGCAAAAAAGGAAAGAAAGGACATTAGTGTAAAAACTGGTGAAATCAAATAAAATCTGGAGTTAATTGTACTGACCAACTACTATTTTTAGTTTTAATAAATGTACCATGTAAGAGTAAGATGTTACTGTAAGATGTTAACAGTAGGGGAAAATCGGTGAGGAATATACAGAAATTCTGTACTATCTTTATAACTTTTCAGTAAATCTAAAATCTTTCCAAACTAAAAGGTCATTAAAATAATAATAAACATGAATAGTACAGAAATCTGAGGTCATTTAAAGAGCAGGCAAATATCACCAAATTCCTCACTAAATCCTGACAGTGTCACTATTTTACAACACAGTAAAACATGGTCCCCACTGGTTTTTTAAGAAAATAAGAGATATGTATTCCCAAGTCCCTAAAATAAAATCTATAAACGCTGAAAGTGTTTACCTAAAATAAATAACAAAATGATTCTTAGAAAATTATAAACAGCAAGGATTTTAATCTTATTCATTTACACATTTACTTATTTATTTATCGAGATGGAGTCTCGCTCTGTCACCAGGCTGGAGTGCAGTGGTGCAATCTTGGCTCATTGCAACCTCCACCTCCTGGGTTCAAGTGGTTCTCCTGCCTCAGCCTCCAGAGTAGCTGGGATTACAGGCGAGCGCCACCATGCCCAGCTAATTTTTGTATTTTTAGTACAGACAGGGTTTCACCATGTTGGCCAAGTTGGTCGTGAACTCCTGACCTCAAGTGATCCAGCCACCTGGGCCTCCCAAAGTGCTGGGATTACAGGCGTGAGACACCACACCCAGCCTACATACTTATTTTCCACCAAGAATTAGTGTTGCTCTCCTTTACATGGCTTTTAACAATTGTTTAGAATCACATTTACTCATTTATTAATAGAAAATGTCATATTCCACAAGCAATTTTATACACCAGAAGTCCTCATATGCATGTAATGTTTAACTTAATAATCTAGCAGAACAAAGTTATTTATGCAAAATCTTTACTAATAAATATAGCTGGCTTGGCAGCCAGGCACAGTGGTTCAGACCTGTAATCCCAACACTTTGGGAGGCCAAGATGGGAGGACTGCTTGAGGCCAGGAGTTCAAGACCAGCCTGATCAACATGGCAAGATCCCAACTCTATTAAGTATATAAATATATATACTTATATAGCTTGTCTGTGAGTTATCTCAATAGATTATTCACAGTCAGTTACAGATGGAACTCCCTGTTCTATTCTTTCTTCCCTTCTCACTACTGCCTATTGTTTTTAAATTTAAATATAACTGTTGGCCAGCCGCGGTGGCTCACGTCTGTAATCCCAGCACTTTGGGAGGCCGAGGCAGGCAGATCACGAGGTCAGGTGGTCGAGACCATCCTGGCTAACACGGTGAAACCCCGTCTCTACTAAAAATACAAACAAAAAAATTAGCCGGGCGTGGTGGCAGGGGCCTGTAGTCCCAGCCAGTCGGGAGGCTGAGACAGAATACAAACAAAAAAATTAACCAGGCGTGGTGGCGGGGGCTTGTAGTCCCAGCCAGTCGGGAGGCTGAGACAGGAGAATGGCATGAACCCGGAAGGCGGAGCTTGCAGTGAGCCGAGGTTGCGCCACTGCACTGCAGCCTGAGCGAAAGTGTGAGACACTGTCTCAAAAAAAAATAATAATAATAATATAACTGTTACCTTCACTCATTATTTATTGTGTAACCAAAATAATTTTCTTTCATATATCCTTTTCACTCATTCATTCACCTATTTATAAACATATTAATAAGTTTTGCAAAATACCTATTAAGTACCAGGACTGTTTCTGATTATGAAGATAGAACAGTAAACAAGACAGGCAGGTCTACATTCTCATGGAGCATATATTCTAAAGGAGACAGGCAGACAGTAAGTAACAACTTAAGTAACTTCAAATTGTGATAAACACTATAAAAGAAACAAACAGAAATATTTACTTCACTGCTATTCTATGTGCAGTAGAGGAAAACAGACTACTTCCAAAAAAACAGGAAAGGCACCTTTAAGTACGCGACAACTAAATTGTTATTTGAAGGATAAGAAAAGTCAAGAAAAGAGCTGGGGAAAGCAATGTCTCGGAAGAGAGAACAGCAAATGCAAGGGCCCTAAAGTAAAGAGTGTAGCATGTTGCAACAATTAGGGAGAAAACAATGGCCGAAGTTTTCTGTTTTTGTTTGAGATGTGTTCTCACTCTGCCACCCAGGTTAGAGAGCACTGACAGGATCAAAGCTGACTGCAGCCTTGACTTACTGGGCTCATGTAATCCTCCCACCTCAGCCTCCCCAGCAACTGGGACTACAAGTGTGTACAATAATGCCTGGCTAATTTTTTACTTTTTCTAGAAAAGGGGTCTCGCTATGTTGTCCTGGCTGGTCTCAAAGGCCTGGCCTCAATCCTCCCACCTCAGCCCCCCACACTGCTGGTATTACAGGTGTGAGCCACCTTGCCTGGACCAACAAATGTTTTGTTAATCCTAAAACACAACAAACAAGGAGAATGACAAAAGACTAGGAAGGATAGGTAGGCATAGGCCATATCATGTGGGCTGAAATAAGAAGCTTACGTACAATTAAAAAATCATTAATGATTTTAACTAGTACAGTCATATTAACCAATTTACATTTTTCAAAATTCTAAAACATACACTTGTAAATATTATTTAATACACAATGTAAGGCTAAATTTGTCATCATTCAATTTGGAAACCTGGTGTCAGACAAATAACATTATAATCTAGTCATATTAGTCATTCAATCATTCATGAAGCATTTGGCCAGCTCCTGCCCTGTGCCAGATAGCTCTGGGTGTTGAAAATACAAAGATTATAGTGGTGATGTCACCTTCCACTTTGAGCAATAAATACAAAAATGATAATGATGATATCATCCTCTATTCTGAGCAATCTAGTTTTCTTCCTAAGGCCTCAAAGCTGTAGTTTTCTAACTGCTATATATTAAAACCACCTTAGTGTATGGTAAAAAAAGCAGATAGGGTCCCAGCTAGCAGTAATTCTAATTCAGTAGGTTTCCAATCATCCTTCACCATACTTTGAGGTGAAGGACGAAAAATAAAATCACCTGTAATTTATAAATTACTTCATGATTCTTGAGAATCATGCCAAAATGAGCCACTGTAATTAATGGAAGGAGTATGCGCAGAGTGTTAGTAGGAAGGACTTGGAGGAGTCAGTATGTACAGAGAGATTAAGATTGATAACCAAGATTAAGTTGGTAAGAGTTCTTGGTTTCTTTTTTTCTTTTTCAACTGCCAAGAAAGAAGTAAGGATTTCTACATACCAGAAGTCTGCAGGACCTTTCAGAAGGTCCTCCAGACCAAAACCACTTTGAGAATAATACTAAAATATTATTTGTTTCTTTCACTGTATTGGGATTTTCCCTGAAGGTTCAAAAGTAACATTGGGCCAGGCATGGTAGCTCACGCCTGTAATCCCAGCACTTCGGGAGGCTGAGGCAGGCGGATCACTTGAGGTCAGGAGTTTGAGACCACCCTCGCCAACATGGTAAAACCCCGTCTCTACTGAAAATACAGAAATTAGCTGGGCGTGGTGGCACACGCCTGTAATCCCAGCTACTCAGGAGGCTGAGGCGGGAGAATCCCTTGAACCCAGGAGGCAGAGGTTGCAGTGAGCCAAGATGGGGCACTGCACTCCAGCCTGGGCGACAAAGCAAGACTCTGTCTCGAAAAAAATAAAAAAAATTTAAAAAGTAACATTGGATAAAACTGCTGTTGTCTCATTAGCAGTAGCACCGAACTACAGTAGTAGTCACTACATTCTTCATTACCAAACACTCACCAAATTTTTTAAAGCCAGTTTCACTTAAGAATGTCCTTGATATAGCTGCAAATATTACACATTAAATCTTTGCCCTTAAGTATACAACTTCTTAATATTCTGTGCACTTAAATGGGTAGAAAGATGGCTGTCTCAAGAAAAAGCATCTTATGAGAGTTGCAAGCTGAACTGTGCTTTTTTATAGACCACCATTTCTCTTGAAAGAACAACTAGTTACTTACTCTTGGGTATCTGAAAGTTATTTCCTTGAAAATGAATAGTGGGCAGCCAGGCATGGTGGCTCACGCCTGTAATCCCAGCACTTTGAGAGGCCAAGGCAGGCAGATCACCTGAGTTCGGGAGTTTGAGACCAGCCTGACCAACATGGAGAAACCCCGTCTCTACCAAAAATACAAAATTAGCCAGGCATGGTGGTATGTGCCTGGAATCCCAGCTACTCAGGAGGCTGAGGCAGGGGAATCGCTTGAACCCAGGAGGCAGAGGTTGCGGTGAGCCGAGCCAAAGGCTGCGGTGAGCCAAGATCGCGCCATTGCACTCCAGCCTGGGCAACAAGAGCAAAACTCTGTCTCAAAAAAAAAAAAAAAGAAAGAAAGAAAGAAAATGACTAGTGGGCTTGTCACATCAGGGAAAGTAACCAACAATATTTAAGCTTCGAAAAAATTCGAATTTTGCAAAACATAGTTTCTACCACTATGGGCTTAACAACTTCCCAAGTCAAAAACACTTTTCTAAAGAGAATGGTGACGATATTAACAGGTGTGATTCTTTGACAACAAATAATGAAATGTGTAAACATTTAGAAGATCTGCGTAACTCAATAAACAAATATTTTCCAACTGACTAATGCATGATGTTTGAAAATTCCTGCAAGGAAAAAAGATACAACCAAAGTGGAGGATAAACCAACTAGATTCATAGATCTTAATGAAAACACAATATGAAAACTTTACTGAGATGGTTTCAAATTCTACACTGCAATTAATCTTTAAGAAATTACCTTCAAAAGGTACATCTTGATTGTGTTGACTTTCATAGATATATTAAATATATGTAACTTATCAACTATATCTCAATAAAATGATTTTTTTTAAAAAAGGAACTACCGCATGTAGAGTTTCAGTATAGCGTTAAATATGGCTATCCATAAGTATCTGGAAAGTCTATTAAATAATTTTGGCCGGGTGTGGTGGCTCACACCTGTAATCCCAGCAATTTGGGAGGCCGAAGTAGACAAGATCACTTGTACCCAGGAGATCAAGACCAGCTTGGGCAACATGGTGAAACCCTGTCTCTACAAAAAATACAGAAATTAACCGGGCATGGTGGTATACACCTATAGTCCCAGCTACTAGGAAAGTGAGTAGGAAGGATCGCTTGAGCCCAGGAGGTCAAGGTTGCAATGAGCCATGAGCATGCCACTGCACTCCAGCATGGACGACAGAGCAAGACTTTGTCTCAAAAAATTAAATAAAATACTCCTCCCTCTTCCAAATTTACATCTGGGTGAGGCCAGATTTTCTCCATATGCTTCAAGCAAAACAACATATCACAACACTGAATGCAGTAGCAGATATGAGAATCCAGCTATTTTCTATTAAGCTAGACATTAAAGATATTTGCAAAACTATAACAAATGCCACTCTTCTCATACTCTTCTTGTTCCGAAAGATAGTTATTTTCATTAAAAATGTCATTTATGTTAGCATGTAATGGGTTTATTATTGCTATTTTTAAATAAATTAACAGTAAATAACTTTGGTTGGTTGGCTGGTTTTTGGTGTCTGGGGTGTTTTTGGTTTTTTCTTTTTTTGAGACAAGGTCTGGCTCTGTCACCCAGGCTCGAGTGCAGTGGCATGATCTCAGCTCACTACAAACTCTGCCTACCAGGCTCAAGCCATCTAAATTTTTTTTCTTTTTTTTTTTTTTTTTTGGTAGAGACAAATTTCGCCATGTTGCCCAGGCTGGTCTTGAACTGGTGAGCTCAAGTGATCTGCCCACTCAGCTCCCAAAGTGCTAGGATTACAGGTATGAGCGACCACGCCTAGCCAAAAGTAAGTAACTTTTATAGCTTCTCAGTTTTAGTTTCTGATTTGATATCTAGTGATATACATAACCCACATAAATAAAAACTCTTTAGGGCTATCAATAATTTTGAAGGCTATAAAGAGATTCTGAGACTGACAAGAGACTAACACAAGAGCAAATGACATTTCGCTGAGACTAGCAAGAGAACAAATGATATATTATTTAGATATGCACTATATTGAATCACCTTAATGAATGTGTCATATCTTCCTCTGAAAAACCAGAATAAGGAGCCACCCAAAAAAGGGGGGTATCAAAAGCAAAATAATGACTATGTTATAATATGAAAAGATCTTCAACTATCAAATTTGTTAACTACAAAAAGGCCAAATATAAAATAACTATACAAGCTAGCTCTTGCTGAAAAAGAGAAAATGATGACTTATAGTCACGTGTGTTTATATATGCATAAACAATCACTGGATAGACAGACACATAAGAAATTGATAAAAGCAACCACCTATAAGGGAAGGGGAACATGGAATACACAAGGACAATGCAGGAATGAGACTTCTCAATATTTTTGACTTTTAAAACACAGGAATGGGCCGGGCGCGGTGGCTCACCCCTGTAATCCCAGCACTTTGGGAGCCGAGGTGGGAGGATCATCTGAGGTCTGGAGGTCGAGACCAGCATGACCAACACGGAGAAACCCCGTCTCTACTAAAAATACAAAATTAGCTGGGTGTGGTGGCACATGCCTGTAATCCCAGCTACTTGGGAGACTAAGGCAGGAGAATCGCTTGAACCTGGGAGGTGGAGGTTGCAGTGAGCCAAGATCGCCCCATTGTACCCCAGCCTGGGCAACAAGAGCAAAACTCCGACTCAAAAAAAAAAAAAAAACACAACACACACAGGAATGTATACAAAAGTTTTTAATTTAAAATTTAATTTAATTAAGTGTAAAATAATTCTAAGCCAATATTAAGCCATAATTCAAACATTTCCAATTTCTAAGTTGCTCTGATCTCAGAAAAACAAAAAATCTTACTCTTTTTATTGGCTCTGAGGCAAAACAGTGCTGTCAGCAACTAAACGCTCATACTAGAAGAGTAAGCACTGGTCAATCTGATTTCTAAGACACAGGAGGGAAATGTTTTTTTAAACCTATAAATGAATCCATCATCTATAGAAAAAACAAAATATTATTAAGTAATTAATAAGAAAATAGCCAGGTAAAATCAGCAGTTATTTTATTAACTCCCTTATACTTAAAAGTTGTCTTTTGCTTGAGCCTTCAGTCACAAGTAGCTCAACCTTCGCTTGCATCTCAGAGGAATATTCTGAAATTGTGAGAAGTTTCCAAATTTTATAAGAATATCAGCTTAACAAAAATTCTTAAATTATTTCTGTCACTTTTCCTAATAGTCAACATAAAAAGGCATATTTCTTTCCACATGGATTAGTCGCTCTCCATAATTTCCAACAGAATTCTTAAGCCTAGGTCAGGGCTGAGGAAACAATTGGGAGGCCAAATCTGCTTCACCACCATTTTTTTATAGATCAAGTTTTATTGAAGCACAGCCAGTTATTCACTTACATATTAACTATAGCTGCTTTCACAATACAAGGGCAGAGTTGACTAGCTGCAAAGGCACAGATCATATGGCCCACAAAGCCTAAAATATTCACTATCTGATCCTTTACAGAGATAAGAGGTGTCATGGCAATAAACAAAAGTGGGTTCATATCTCAAATCTCATATCACAATACATTCCAAATGGATAAAAGACTGAAATGTCAAAAGTGAATTAATGGGCGGGGCACAGTGGTTCACACCTCTAATCCCAGCACTTTGGGAGGCCGAGGTGGGTGGATCACCTGAGTTCAGGAGTTCGAGACCAGCCTGGCCAACATGGCAAAACCCCATCTCTACCAAAAATACAAAAACTAGCTGGGTGTGGTGGCGGGAGCCTATAATCCCAGCTACTCGGGAGACTGAGGCAGGAGAATCACTCGAACCCAGGAGATGGAGGGTGCAGTGAGCCGAGATCGTGCCACTGCACTCCAGCCTGGGTGACAGAGTGAGACTCCGTCTCAAATTTAAAAAAAAAATGAATTAATAAAATAATAAGGAGCATTTATAGAGAATTAAATGGGGAACACCCAGATATGTCCAAAAAACACTAAAGATAATAAATATAAGCAATTGGAAGAAACAATTAACTAAAATACATATTTGAAAACTATGGAAAAAAAATCATCAGAAAATCAAAAGTCAAATGGGATACTGGGAAAAAAATGCTTCCAACTAATGTCACAGGAAAAAAAGGGTCGATTTTTCTACAAATAGTGGCACATGCCTCTAGTCCCAGCTATTCAGGAGGCAGATGCACGAGGATCACTGGAGCCAAGGAATTTGAGACTGCAGCGAGCTATGACTGTGCCACCGCATTCCAGCCTGGGCAACACAGTAAGACCCTGTCTCAAAAAAAAGAAAGAAAGATATGAAAACATGCTCAACCTCACTCATACTAAGAAAAATACACATTAAAACTATAGTGGCATGAATTATATTTCCACTCATGAGGAAGTAACAGGTCCAAACAACCTACATCCATATACAACTACAAAAACTAGACAAAACATATAAATATGCATTGCATTATTTTTTCAGACATTAGACTACATGGGCAACAGGACTGTGGAAAAGGAAATAAACAAAATGAGATTTTAAATGACCCAGAATTCTGCCAGAAGACAACTTATAAACTACTGCCCAGTGAAGAGGAGCACAGACCTGGGTGGGATCACTAAAATTTGCCATACTGAAGTTTGAGAAGGCTAGGTGGCTAGAATTTCCGGATCAGAATTCTGGAGAAGAGGAAGCTAAACAACAAAGAACTCTGGAAATCTGCAAAGGGGTTCACTCAGGTTTTTGGTTTAATACCACAACCTGCCCACGCACAGGGTAAAACTCCACAAAGCCAAAGAAACTCTTCTGGGGAAAGAACAATTTCTAGAACTCAGTGGGCCAAAATCATTGGAGCTATCACCAGTCTGAGTGGAGATACCTCACTGATTATATGGCAGATTTAGAACAGGCCCCAAAAGAGTAAAGCTTTAATGATAGAACTCCACCAAGGCCAAACTATCCTATTTTTTATCCTAAAAAATTGTAAAACAAGTCAGAAAACTATAAAAATGATCCATAAGTAATGCTGTTGCTGTCTGCCAGAAATACAGAAATATCATCAATACTTTCTTTTTTTTTTTTTTTTTTTTTTTTTTTTTGAGACAGAGTCTTGCTCTGTCGCCCAGGCTTGAGTGCAGTGACATGATCTCGGCTCACTGCAACCTCTGCCTCCCAGGTTCAAGTGATTCTTCTGCCTCAGCCCCCCGAGCAGCTGGGATTACAGGCGTGCACCACCACGCCTGGCTAATTTTTGTATTTTTAGTCAAGACAGGGTTTCACCATGTTGGCCAGGCTGGTCTCGAACTCCCAACCTCAGGTGATCTGCCCACCTCGCCCTCCCAAAGTACTGGAATTACAGGCATCAGCCACCACACCCGGCCACCTCAATACTTCTTAAATGAATACCACAAATATCATACTCGAGATAAAAGTCACAATGTCTGGCATCCAATAAAAATTAATAGAGAGGTCGGGCGTGGTGGCTCACACCTGTAATCCCAGCACTTTGGAAGACGGAGGTGGGCTGATCACCTGAGGTTGGGAGTTCAAGACCAACCTGGCCAACATGGTGAAACCCCATCTCTACTAAAAATACAAAAATTAGCCAGGCGTGGTGGTGCGTGTCTGCAGTCCCGGCTACTCAGGAGGCTGAGGCACAAGACATCACTTGAACCTGGGAGGTGGAGGTTGCAGTGAGCCGAGATTGCACCACTGCACTCCAACCTGGGTGACAGAGCCAGACTTTGTCTAAAAAAAAAATAATAATAATAATAATAATAGACATACGGCCAGGCACAGTGGCTCATGCCTATAATCCCAGCCTTTGGGAGGCCAAGGCAGGCGGATCACTTGAGCCCAGGAGTTGGAAACCAGACTGGACAACATGGCAAAAACCTGTCTCTACCAAAAATACAAAAATTAGCCGGGCATGGTGGTGCACACCTGTAGTCCCAGCTACTCAGAAGGCTGAGGCAGGAGGATCAATTGAGCCCTGGAGGTCGAGGCTGCAGTGAGCTGTGATTGTGCCAAGGCACTCGTGCCTTGCGGTGGGGGTGGAGGTAGAGCAAGGGAGGGAGGGAGGAAAAGAGGGAGAGAGGAAGGGAGGAAGGGAGGGAGGGAGAGAGGGAGGGAGGGAGGAAGGCAGGCAGGCAAACATGACCAATAAACAGGAAGAAAAATAATTCACTATACCCAGACCCAGAAATTATAGATTAAAAAAACAGCTATTGTAGAAATATTCAATATGCCCAAAAATCTAAATGACATGAATATATGAAAATAAGAGAATTGGCCAGGGACGGTGGCTCACACCTGTAATCCCAGCACTTTGGGAGGCCGAGGCGGGTGAATCACTTGAGGTCAGGAGTTCAGGACCAGCCTGGCCAATATGGTGAAACCTCATCTCTACTAAAAATACAAAAATTAGCCGGGTGAGGTGGTGGGCACCTGTAATCCCAGCTACTCGGGAGAGGCTGAGGCAGGCACATCGCTTGAACCTGGGAGGTGGAGGTTGCAGTGAGCCAAGATTGCACCACTGCACTCCAGCCTGGGCAATAGAGTGAGATTCTATCTCAAAAAAAGAAAATAAGACAATCAAATGGAATATAGAGATGAAAATTATAATATTTGATATAAAAGTTTCATTCATGGAATTAAAAGCAAAATTAGATACTGCAGAAGATCACTGAACTTGAGAACAAAGCAAAATAAATTATACAAAAGGAAACAGAAAAAAAGGGGGGGAACATTCTCAGTGAACTGTGGGAGAATATTAAGCTATGCAAGATATATGTGACTGGAGTGTCAGAAATACAAAAAGAGAAAAAAAAAATCCTCAAGGAGGTAATAATAAAGATGAAAAATTTCCAAATTTTCTGAAAACTATAACCCAGGCATCTAAGAATCACAGTAAGCCCCAAGGGATAAATTCAAAACTATTCAAAGGTACATGATAACAGCAGGAAAATGGTAATAAGTAAGAAATTGTCAAGCGACCTGAAGAAAAGACACACTATATTCAGAGAAACAAATATAAAAAAATCATAGACTTCCAGAAGCTATGCTAAGCCAAAATACAATACAAAATTTATAAAGTGCTACAACACACCAAAAACTTAATACCTACCAAACTACCTTTCAATAAAGAAGGGCGTAACGATAGAGTGAATTCATCAAGAAAACATATATCCCAATATGCACACCAAATAATATAAAATCAAAAATACATAAAACAGCCAGGCATGGTGGCTCATGCCTATAATCCTAGCACTTTCGGAGGGAGGAAGGGAGAGAGAGGGAGAGGAGAGGGAGAGAGAGAGACAGAGGGGGAGAGAGAGAGAAAGAGAGAGAGAGAGAAAGAAACAATGAATCAAGAAAACTAAAAGAGGCATGGCACGGTGGCTCACACCTGTAATCCCAGCACTTTGAGAGGCCAAGGCGGGCGGATCACTTGAGGTCAGAAGTTCGAGACAAACCTGGACAACATGGTGAAACCCCATCTCTACTAAAAACAAAAATTAGCTGGGTGTGGTGGTGCACACCCGTAGTCCCAGCTGAGGGAGGCTAAGGCAGGAGAATCACTTGAACCTGGCAGGCGGAGGTTGTAGTGAGCTGAGATCGTGCCACTGCACTCCAGCCTGGGCAACAGAGTGACACCCTATCTCAAAAAAAAAGGAAACTAAAAGAAAAAATAAGACAAATCCCCATCTATAGATGGAAATTTCAACACTGCTCTTAAGAATTCATAGAAATAGTGAAAAGAAAATCAATAGGAATACAGAAGATTCCAATACAATAATCCAACTTAATCTAATTAACATTTATAGAGCATTCCACCCCATAACTACAGAAAACATACATACTCTTTAGGAGTCAAGGTCGTGCTCTGTCACCCATGCTGGAGTGTGGTCGTGTAATCATAGCTCAATGCAGCCTCGAACTCCTGGGCTCAAGCAATCATCCTGCCTCAGACTCCCGAATTGCTAGGATTACAGGCATGAACTACTATGCCCAGCAGAGAACGCATATTACTTTCAAAAGAACATGGAACACTCACCAAGACTGAACATAGAACACTCGCCAAGACAGATCTTGTAATGCACCACAAGTCTACTGTGAGCTGTCAGGGCTCAAGGGAGAAAAACAGATGTAATAGTTCCTAAACTTATTTGACCATAAACCCTTTCTGCAAAAGGCATCTCCAGAGACTACTGTCTCCCAGAACACATTGAGGTCAGGGACCTCAATGAAAAAAATACTTGAGGTAATAATAAAGACAAAAAACTTCCAAATTTTCTGAAAACTATAACTCAGACATCCAAGAATCATAGTAAGCCCCAAACAGGATAAACTCAAAACTATTCAAAGGTACATGATAACAGCAGTAAAATGTAATAAGAAATCGTCAAGCAACCTGAAGAAAAGACACACTATATTCAGAGAAACAAATACTCAGAGAATATACGCACTATATTCAGAAAGACACACTATATACAGAGAAACAAACCACCACACCCAGCTAATTTTTATATTTTTAGTAGAGATGGGGTTTCACCATGTTGGCCAGGCTGGTCTCAAACTTAATGCTTAATCTGTATTCCTTACAGATGTTGAACCATTTTCAACATCTCTTCCTTTCTCTCCTCCTGTGACTAACAAAATCAGGCAATCAATACAAATTTCCTTTCCTTGACCATCAGTCAGAATTAGTCAATCTTATGAAGTATCTGAAAAAGTCCTAAAGCAGGAATAAGCTTGACATACTTGGGGAACAGCAAGGAGCCCAGAATGGCTGGAATAATGTGGTGAAAGGAAAAATGGTAGATAAAATGAGAAAGTTAAGCAGAGGTCATAGTATGTAAGACCTTGTAAGTTGTGGTAAGAAGTTGGAATGTGGTTATGTAATTGGGGGAGGGGAGATTAAGAAAAGGATATTATCGAATCTACATTTTCAAAAAGATTTCTTTGCCTCTGTGTAAAGAACAGAATGGAAACTGGGCAACCAGTAGGAAGCTCTCCCAGTAACACAGGAAATGGCTAAGACGAGAATGGCTTAGACCAGACTTACACATATGTGTTTCACAGAAAAATGCCCAGGCAAATCTACATAAATTATGCTGAGATGTCTTCAACTTAAAGCTTTTTTTTGAGACAGAATCTCACTCGGTCACTCAAGCTGAAGTAGTGCAGTGGCATAATCACAGCTCACTGCAGCCTCAACCTCCCAGGCACAAGCAATCCTCCCACTTCAGCCTCCACAGTATATGGGACTATAGATAGGCATGTGCCAACCACACCTGGCTAATTTTTGTTATTTTTTGTAGAGACGGGGGTCTCACTAAGTTGCTGGTCTTGAACTCCTGAGCTCAAGCAGTCCTCCCACCTCGGCCTCCCAAAGTGCTGGGATTACAGGCATGAGCCACCAAGCCTGGCCTGAAGTATTTTCTTTACTTGGTTCCCAGGACATCTCATTCTCCTCCTCATGAGATGCTTAATCTGTATTCCTTATAGGATCTCCCTCATCCCCCCAACCTCTTCATGTTGGAATGTTCTAAGGCTTGGTCACTGAACCTCTTTTGTCTAACTATTCTCATTCCCATGGTAATTTCATCCAGATACCTGGCTTTAAAAATCATTTATGGCTGGGCACAGTGGCTCACGCCTATAATCCCAGCACTTTGGGAGGACAAGGTGGGCAGATCATGAGGTCAGGAGTTCGAGACCAACCTGGCCAACATAGAGAAACCCCATCTCTACCAAAAATACAAAAATTCAGCTGGGCATGGTGGTGGGCGCCTGTAATCCCAGCTACTCGGGAGGCTGAGACAGGAGAATCACTTGAACCCAGGAGGCGGACATTGCAGTGAGTAGAGATCATGCCATTGCACTCCAGCCCAGGAGACAATGTGAGACTCCGTCTCAAAAAAAAAAAAAAGAAAAAATCATCTATATGATGCTAATCTCCACTTTTAAATCTCCAGTCTAGACCACTTCCCTAAACTCCAGACTCATACATACACTTGACTGTACAGTGAACATCTCAAACTTAAAATAACAAAATTGAGCTCCTAACCTTCCCCCGCCAAACTTGTTCCTCTTAGATCTTCCCTATCTCAGTATAATAGCAACTCCATCACTGCTAATGCTCAGGGATAAACCTTAAGAGATAACCATGACTCCTTTCTTTCTTTCGCACTCCATACTTCAAGTATGTCAGCAAATCCTCTCAGCTCTATCTTCAAAATATATTCAACAACCAATCACTTCTCACCATCTCCACTGTTACTACTCATTTCAAGCCACTATCATCTCACAGTTGGATTACTCCTTTCCTCCTAACTGGTCTCCCTGGTTCTGCCCTTGCCACTGCTTTCACCACTCCCCAACCTTCAACTACTCTCATCACAGCAGCCAAGTAATTATATTAAATCTACATTAGATCATGCCATCAACTGCCCAAAACCTTCCAATGACCATCTGACTCAAGTAAAAGTCCTTTCTAGACTAGGCACAGTGGCTCATACCTGTAATCCCAGCACTCTGGGAGGCTGAGATAGGAAGATTGCTTCAGTCCACAAGTTTAAGACCAGCCTGAGCAATATAGTGAGACCCGCCCCCCCATCTCTACCAAAAATACAAAAATTTGCCAGGCACGCTGGTGCCTGCCTGTAGTCCCAGCTACTCAGGAGATTGAGGTGGCAAGATCGCTTGAGCACGGGAGGTTAAGGTTTCAATGAGCTATGATTGCACCACTGCACTCTAGCCTGGGCAACAGAGCAAGACCCTGTCTCAAAAAGTCTCCAGCCACCTCTTAACTCATATGATACTACTCTGTTCCAGTTCACTTCATTTCAGCTGCAATGACCTTGCTTACTGGGTGTTCCTCAAATATTCCAGGCCTGCTCTAGCCTCAGAACCTTTGAATTTGCTGTACCCTCTGCCTAAAATCATCTATCCCCAGATAATGTACAATACAAGGCTTGTTCTTTCACCTGCATCAGGCATTTTTTTTTTTTTTTTTTTTGGACAAATCCTCAATCTGTCGCCCAGGCTGGAGCGTAGTGGTGAAACATGGTTCACTGCAGCCTCCTGGACTCAGGCAATCCTCCTGCCTCAGCCTCCTGTGTAGCTGGGACCACAAGCACACATCAGCACATCACTACATCCAGCTAATTTTTTTATTTTTTGTAGAGATGATGGTCTCACTTTTTTGTCCAGGCTGGTCTCCAACTCCTGGGTTCAAGCAATCCTCCCATCTCAGCCTCCCAAAGTGCTGGGATCACAGACCTGAGCCACAGCACCCAGCTCAAGTCTTTACTCAAATGACATCTCAGTGAAGTCTTCCTTTTTACTTATTTTTTTTTTTTTGAGACGGAGTTTCACTCTTGTTGCCCAGACTGGAGTGCAGTGGTGCGATCTCAGCTCACTGCAAGCTCCGCCTCCTGGGTTCACTCCACTCTTCTCGCCGCAGCCTCCCAAGTAGCTGGGACTACAGGAACCTGCCACCACGCCCAGCTAATTTTTTGTATTTTTAGTAGAGACGGGGTTTCACCGTGTTAGCCAGGATGGTCTCGATCTCCTGACCTCGTGATCCGCCCGCCTCGGCCTCCCAAAGTGCTGGGATTACAGGCGTGAGCCACCGTGCCCGGCCAATTTTTTGTATTTTTAGTAAAGACAGGGTTTCATCATGTTGGCCAGGCTGGTCTCAAACTCCTGACCTCAAGTGATCCGCCCTCCTCGGCCTCCCAAAGTGCAGGGATTACAAGCGTGAGCCACCGCACCTGGCCGAAGTCTTCCCTTTCAATGCTATTTAATATTGCAGCCTGGACCCCTGAGCCTTTAAACATTCCCTATGCACCAGCTGTGCTTTGTTACTCTCCATAGCACTTTCCTCTATCTAGCATACCACATATTTTTTTTTTTTCCATGACATAGCCCTCAAGAGGTCCTGAGAACATGCACCCAATTTTCCTTACTTTATCCATCATCTGTCCCCGCAATTAAAATGTAAACTCCAGGAATTTTAGTCTGTTTCATCCCCTGCTATACACCTAGTCCCATCAGCAGTGCCTTTCACATAGCAGAAATTGATTCGTTCAATATTGAATTGCTGAATATTAAATAAAGCCTCTTCAGAAGTGCCATAAATTTTGATTTTTTTTTTTTTTTTTTTTTTTGAGACAGGAGTCTCGCTCTCTCACCCAGGCGGGAGTGCAGTGGCGCAATCTCGGCTCACTGCAAGCGCCGCCTCCCGGGTTCATGCCATTCTCCTGCCTCAGCCTCCCGCGTAGCTGGGACTACAGGAGCCCGCCATCACGGCCGGCTAATTTTTTTGTATTTTTAGTAGAGACGGGGTTTCACCGTGTTAGCCAGGATGGTCTCGATCTCCTGACCTCGTGATCCGCCCGCCTCGGCCTCCCAAAGTGCTGGGATTACAGGCTTGAGCCATCGCACCCGGCAGAAGTGCCATAAATTTTATTACGTCCAATTCAAATGTTAGGACTAGCCTAATTAAAATATACCAATTATTTTGTAATTATATATGTATTATATTTATATTATACTAAGCATTCGTTTTTAGTTATGTTTATTATTTTTTAATGTAAGATATTACTTGACAATTAAAAAGATGTTTACTGATTCCAAATAGTTCAACTTCTCACTCTGGCATAGCTATAAATGGAAAGAACAGTAGGCTTCAGCCAGAAGTCCTGGGTTCAAATCTTAGCTCTGCAGTTTACCAGTTACGACTCATACAAGCCTCCTCCAAGTCTTAGTTTTTCTTCTTAACAGTAAGCTTTAGCCAGAAGTCCTGGGTTCAAAACCCAACTCTACTATTTACAAGTAATATGACTCAGATGACGTAGCCTCCTCCAAGTCTTCGTTTCTCATCTATAAAATGGCAAGGTGAGGGTAGAAATAAAGACTTGCCTGCATTACCAACCCTATACCTAATCATAAGATTATTGTAACAATTAAAAATATATGGCCAGGCGTGGTGGCTCACACCTGCAATCCCAGCGCCTTGGGAGGCCAAGGAGGGTGGATCACAAGGTCAGGAGATCAAGACCATCCTGACCAACATGGTGAAACCCCGTCTCTACTAAAATACAAAAAATTAGCCGAGTGTGGTGGCACATGCCTGTAGACCCAGCTACTTGGGAGGCTGAGGCAGGGGAATCGCTTGAACCAGGAGGCAGAGCTTGCAGTGAGCTGAGATCTCGCCAGTGCCCTCCAGCCTGGGCAACACAGCGAGACTCTGTCTCAAAAAAAAAAAAAAAAAAAAAAAAATATATATATATATATATACACACACACACACACATGTATATACGTATATACGTATATGTGTATATATACATATACATATATACGTGTATATATACATACACATATATACATGTACATATATACATATACATATACATATATACATACACATATATACATATATACATATACATATATACATACATATGTATGAGGAAATCCTTTATATAAGCCACAATATACATATATATATAATATACATGTATGAGTTAAATAATACACACATATACATAATATACATATATGAGTTAAATATTCATACTGCAGTTTGGGGAAAATGAAGTAGGATAAAGTAAGTTCAGTGTTTCGGGCAGCATATTTTCCCATACCTTCCTGCCCCTAATACCAAACTCTAATTTTAGAGTCAGACTGGTTCTTCAACTTACTTGTTATACCTTAAACAAGTTACTCAACTTAGGTCATTGTTTCCACATCCATAAATGGAGATAATACCTACCTTGGAGGGTCCTTTTGAAGATTAGGGATTATATACATACATACGTAATATACCTATGAAATATACTTAATGAAAGTTTTTGTCATTTTCATCTTCTTTCAAATGGACAAAAACTCAAAAGCAGTTGACACGAACCATGGAGACAGTGAAGGAGATGATTTTGACTTGGAAACTGCATGTGAAAGGACAAGGAAACTGAAAACTAGAAATAATCAGGCAATCATATCAACAGTTTGCCTGTTAAATATGTTCTTTCCTTCTTGCCTTTCTGCAAGGTAAAATAATAGGATGGGATGCAAAGAAAAATCAGCATACAGAAAACAGTATTTAGTAACATAAAATAATTCACTTCGAAACTAAATTTTATTATATAGTCTTTCCAAAGAGAAATATTTTTATTATTCAGTTTTTCAATTTCCCACACACCAAGATGTATTATTTTGACACTCTATCTTTTTTTAATCCAATCAAACTTCCAGCAAACATTTTATACTCCTAAACTTACAGTACATGCCAAAAAAATTAAGCTGTAGTTTTCCAGCTATAGAACCCTGATATAATTTTATCAATTGTTTAGAAACATAGTAGAATTAATGAAAACAAAAACTAAAACTGCATTTAAGATATATATCATAGAAATACTTCAAGAATGTTCTTTGAAATTATCAGACTTTGGATATTTCCTCAATTCCATGACAGCCGTGATTATAAGATGTACCATCAATAATATAACCACTATTTGCCAAGGGAAAAAAAGCAAAGAAATGTTCTATTTCTTAACACAGGGACTTGTTACATAGGGTATATGAAATCTGTGCATATCCACCAAGGTATATACTTGATTTGTATACTTTTTCAATATATGTTTACTTCAACAAAAAAAATTTAATGTAATGTCCTGCTACTTCACAAACACAGCATACATATGCTCAAATCAACCAAATGAAGTATAGATCTAAACATGAAAGATAAAAAGAGAAAGCTCTTAGAAAAAAGCACAGGAGGGTAACTTCATGACATTCAGGTAGGTAGAGATTTCATAAACGGGAAACAACAAAAGCACTAACCAACTGATAAACTGGACTTCTTTAAAACTAAGAATTTGGCCAGGCATGATAGCTTATGCCTGTAATCCCAGCACTTTGGGAGGCCAAGGCAGGAGGACTGCTTGAGACCAGGAGTTTGAGACCAGCCTGGGCAACAAAGTGAGACACCATCTCTACAAAAAATTTTAACAATTAGCCAAGGATGATGGCGCACATCTGTAGTTAGCTACTCAGGAAGCTGAGACAGGAGAATAGCTTGAGACCAGGAATTTGAGACCAGCCTCAACAAGAGTGAGACACCATCTCTACAAAAAATTTTAAAACTTAGCCAGGCATGATAGTACATGCCTATAATCCTACTCAGGAAGCTGAGGCAGGGGGATCGCTTGAGCCCAAGAGTTAGAGGCTGCAGTGAGTTGTGATCACACCATTGCCATCCAACTTGGGCAACAGAGCAAGACCCTGTCTCAAATAAATAAATAAGTAAATAAATAAATAAAAGCTTTAATTCACTGACACACCAAGATTCTAAAAGGGCAGAAGATAGATGCAATATGTACCTAACAAAGAAATGTAGCCAGAATAAGAACTAGAAGTCAATATGAAAAAAATAAACAGCCCAGTAGAAAAAAAGGGCAAAAGATTTAACAGACACTTCACAAAAGCAGAAATCCAATGGCCAATAAACATGGGGTCCCTAACAAGAAAAAATGCTCAACTTCATTAAGTATCAGGAAAATATGAATTAAAACTACACTACAATATCACTACACACCCTTCCAGAATAACTAAAAATAAAAAGACTGACAATACCAAGTGTTAGCAAAGATGAGAAGCAACTGGAGCTCTTACACACTGCTGGTGGGAGTGTAAATTTGTAAAACCAATTTGCAAAACTTTAGCAGAATCTACTAAAACTTATCACATGGGGCCGGGCACAGTGGCTCACACCTGTAATCCCAGTACTTTGGGAGGCTGAGGGAGGGGCACAAATCACCTGAGGTCAGGAGTTCAAGACCAACCTGGACAACATGGTGAAACCCCATCTCTACTAAAAATACAAAAATTATCCGGGTGTGGTGGTGCATACCTGTAATCCCAGCTACTCGGGATGCTGAGGCAGGAGAACTGCTTGAACCCGGGAGGCAGAGGTTGCAGTGAGCTGAGATCGCACCACTGCACTCCAGCCTGGGCAACACAGTTAGACCCCGTTTCAAAAAAAAAAAAAAACTTACCATTTGCATAGACCATGATCTAATCACTCCACCCTAAGGCATATATCCATCAAAAATCACATATACATTGACCAAAAAAAGGTATAAAAGTGTTCACAGCAGCAAAACTAAAAAACCCACATGTCCATCAACAGAATAAACTGGAATTGTCACGCAACAGAATGAACAAAGTACAATACAACATGTATTAATCTTACAAATGTAACACCGAGCAAAAGCTCAAAGGAGCCAGGTGCAGTGGCTCACACCTATAATCCCAACACTTAAGGAGGCTGAAGGAGGAAGACTGCTTGAGCCCAGGAAGTTGAGGCTGCAGTGAGCTATGATCGAGCCACGGCACTCTAGCCTGGGTGACAGAGAGACTCTGTCACCAAAAAAAAAAAAAAAAAAGAAGCTCAAAGAATACATACTATATAATTCCACTGATAAAGAATTGGAAAACAGACAAAATTTTTCTGTTCTTAAAATACAAGGAACATGGAATGGGGAGAGGGGCATTTGGTGGGAATTCCAGTACTGATGTGTTTCTTGAGTTGAATACTCATTATGTGAATGTACTTAATTCATCTAGCTGAACTTGTTTAAAGTATGTCATACTTTAAAAATCTTACACTCCCTGGATCCCTAACTGGCAGAACAGGATTGGTAATCCCTTCCTACCACCAAGATGCTTCATCTATACCATGATCAGAGACTTGAATGGCAGCAGTCTCATATCAGCCCCACCGCTCTTCAGAATGTAAACATTTGTATCCCTGTCCATATATGCTACCAATACTTCCCACTTGCTAATTATACGCCTACTATATGCCAAGCACTTTAACATTCAGTTAAATACTTATTGAGCATCTACTATGTACAAAACCTATGCTGAGTACTTAGGGTACAAAAAAATGAGTAAGACATGGTACCTGGCTTACCTCATATACAGGTAACATCAAAAACCACATTGGGGAGGCAAAGCACCAGGGTAGGTTTCTTGGAGGTGTTAACACTTGAGTCTTCAAAAGAGGAGTAGGAATTATCCCAACAAAGAATATTTCAACAGAGGGACCAGTTTGTGCAAGAGCACAGTGATAAGAAACAGCATGATGTATTTAAAGAAACAATGAACAACTATTAGATGTCACTTAAGGAGGGTAAAACCAAAACTGGGTTGGGGTAGGGGAAAGCGGTCATAGAGATAGGAAGATGGCAAGTTATGAGGGGACTTAGACCTTAACCAAGAGGCAAGATAGATCAGTGAGGAAATGATCAAAGGAATGATTTGGCCAACATACTATTCAGGCAGCAGTACAGAAGATGGATTTAAAGGGATAGGACTGGCAGAAGGAAGTCCAATTCGGAGACAGTTGTAATTATTCTGACAGAAGATGATAAGGGCCTAAAATAATGGGATGAAAGCGGTAGCAAATCTGGAGAAAACAGACTACATTTAGATTATGTTGCTGGTCCAGAGATCAAACTTTGACAACCACTAACCTACACTGGCTAGGGTTTGGCAAATTTTTTCTATGAAGAGCCAAAGAGTAAATATTTCAGACTTTGTGTGTCAAATACAGTCTCTACAGCATTTCATGTTTTTGTTTGTTTTTTAAACAACCCATTAAATATTAACAACCATTCTTAGCTACTGGACCTTACCAAAAAAAAAAAAAAAGGGCTGCAGCTACATTTGCAGTATGGGCCACAGTTAGTTTGCTGATACCTGCTGCACACACATAAAGAAGTGAGAATGGGCTGGGTGTGGTGGCTCACGCCTGTAATCCCAGCACTTTGGGAGGCCGAGGCAGGCAGATCACGAGGTCAGGAGTTCAAGACCAGCCTGGCCAATATGGTGAAACCCCATCTCTACTAAAAATACAAAAATTAGCCAGGCATGGTGGCGGGGGCCTGCAGTCTCAGCTACTCAGGAGGCTGAGGCAGAGGGATCTCTTGAACCCAGGAGGTGGAGGCTGCAGTGAGCCAAGATCGTGCCATTGCACTCCACCCTGGGCAACACAGCAAGATTCCATCTCAAAAAAAAAAAAAAAAAAAAAAAGAAGTGAGAATGAATCATCCTATGAGATTAAATTTCCTAAAATGCTATTTGCATCATATTAGTCCCCTACTAAGAAACCTCCATTGGTCCTCACTCTCAACTGAGTAAGTCCAGTCCCAATGATGCCTAGCATTCATAGGCATCTGTACTCTAGGACCAGCCTACTACTCCAGGCTCATGAACTATGCCCCTGTGTACCTTCCATTCTTATTAAATTGAACTATTTACATTTACCTGCCTCTGTATCTGTGTGGGGTTTCCCAATCCAATGTTCCTTCCTCCCTGCTCCAAACCTGTTCAAATACTCTTCCTTCAAAGCATAATTCAAATCCTACCCCAAAATGATTCTACCCTCCTCAGTAGTCCTAAAAGCACATCTCAACTTACTTGATATTTATTTGCTGCCCTAAAAGTTCTTACTTACTTCAAATAAACTGAAAATTCCTTGAGGGCAAGAAAAAATTTGTTACTCTCTATAAATGGATCTAGCATATAACAAGGGATAAACAAAAAGAAGATATATGTGTGTGTATATATGTAATATTTATATATGTACACACACTTTTTTTCTGAAATAGCTATATAACTAAAGCAAATGTGTTTTCACCCTTATTTATGTCGGTAATTAAACACATTAATTCTACGGACGCAACTTGAATGCTGTAGGAACCACAGAATGACAATCCACAAACACCTCTCCATCTCCTATTACTCACACTTTTTTAGGACTAATATGCTAGAGAAATAACACAATACAAGTCCAATTTTTCCAAAGGTCAATGTTATCAATGTAGGTACACTGACAAATATTAAAGACAGGTGTTACTAAACCCAGTCGAAGTTTACTTATCTGTAGTTGCACTTCATTTATTTTTAAAATACAAAATAAGCTTTTACAATTGAATTGCTTTAAATCTACCCTCAATTATTACTCAAGTTTAAAAAGTCCCACACTGACTCCCCCAAAAATTGTCACATATCTGGCCTTAATTTTAAGGTTCTCTGTGACAATGCACATTACCAAAAATGGCATTATTGATTTCACTCAGAATTTAGGGAAATAAGAATATACTTAGAATTTTTCAGAGAATAGTCCTCTTTAGTTCACTGTTGATAAATAACAATAATCACAGAATGTTTTGAGCTGGATTAACGAATTCATCTTAGAATACCAAAGAAGTCTTTCCAAATCCAAGTGTAAGCTATGTCATATAAGATTATCCAAAGAATGTTCAAGAATCTATAGAAATTCCTCCAGAATCACTTGCCCACATTCCAATGCAAACTACAACGAAAGTTTAAAACATTGAACTTCTGGCCTGGCACAGTGGCTCACGCCGGTAATCCCAGGACTTTGGGAGGCCCAGGCGGGAGGATCACGAAGTCGGGAGTTAGAGACCAGCATGGCCAACATGGTGAAACCTGTCTCTACTAAAAATACAAAAAATTAGCTGGGCGTGGTGGCGCGCGCCTGTAATCTCAGCTACTCAGGAGGCTGAAGCAGGAGAATCGCTTGAACCCAGGAGGCGGAGGTTGCAATGAGTCAAGATCGAGCCATTGCACTCCAGCCTGGGCGACAGAGCAAGACTCCGTCTAGAGAGGAAAAAAAAAACCACTTCTCTACATGTTTCCCCATAAGCTGAACAAGAATAATTTAACTGGCATTCTCAGGCTCTGAGGAAGATTAAATGTTTATGAAGTACTTTAGGACCATGAATGGAAGCCACTTTAACCATAAAATGTCATATTTGCTTAATGCAAAACTATAGCTACCTGTTAGCTATAGCTGCAAATCCAATCCTCACAATTCTTTTGTGTCTCCCTAACACAGAAAATCTTCAGTGAGTCATGTATTTCAGTAAGGTACATGTATTTAATGAGCTAGTTTAGCAACCTCAGAGAAATGAATTTTCTTCCAAATCTTTGCTTTCTCACAGGCCATGTCACTCTCCAAGCCAATTCTTTGCAAAAGGAAACATGATCCGATTCACCTCGAGAAGTTAGGTCTAGTTATTGACAAGCCAATACCAAATGACTGAAGACTATGAGGAATCACAGTAGAACTGTCTTTGTTAACATACCAGAAATGTGACTCCTGAAAATAATCCCAGAAAACAGGCATTCTAACAAGCACTTTATTAAAGGGAAAGTCCCTACACTTTCACATAAAGAAGTCTAAAATGCTTTTAGACAGTGGAGACAGAAAACTCAACTCGCTCAAAGCTTAAACTTAATTCGTTAGGTAGTTCCAGCACCTGCCTGGTGTAGGGCGACCAGTGACTGGGGCGACTGCTCGGGAAAAGTGCTGATGCCATATCCAGCTGCCCCTTTCGTGAATGACAGTAACAATGCAAACACTGACAGAAGAGCTGGGAGCCCCCCCACCCCCAAGCCCCTAGCTTAGCAGTACTTCCACCCCAGCCCCAACATACAAAGTGACAAATCCCTGAAAGGCCCTCCTCTGACAGATCTCCCCATGCAGAGACCTCGTCTGTAGTCTGGTAACGTAAAAAAGTGCTACCCTTCACTCCCTGCAAGACAGCGGAGCCCCTTAAAGGTGCGGGGAAACGCTGCCTCCTTCTCCAGCACCAGAGGCACGGGGCGAGAAGACTTCCTCTCCGGCTGCGGGCGCGGGGGCTCGGGGGCAGACCGAGAGAACTCCCTCTGGGCGAGGGCACTCCCCGGACCGCCAGCGGGGAGGGCAGGGAAGACGGGAGAGGAAAGGAAAGGGTCCCTGGCTCGGCAAGAGGGCGGAGGGTCGCTGCCCTGCGGCGTGGAGAAGCGGGGCTCGGCGCCGGGCACACCGTCCTTCCCGGGGGTGGCAGCGGCCGGCCGCACGCTTCCTGCAAGCCAGAGGCGGCGACAAGTCGGCTGGGGTCCGGGAGCACGTTCCTTCCTCGAGCCTGGTCCTGAGGGAGGGCGCAGGCTGCCGAGGCGGCAACTCTCCCTCTCGCCCAACTCCGGAGAGCGTGAGGCCGGCCGGCCCCGGGCTGCCGGCGCGGGATGCCCGCCGCCCGGGTGGGGGAGGCGGCGAGGCCGGCCTCGGCTCGCTCCCTCCCCACGCGGTCCGCGCCCGGCGGCCCGTCCGCGCCCTCTTCCCCGCCCGCCGCCGCCGCGGGGCCGGGCCGCCGACCTCGGCCGGCCGGGCGTGGGGCCAGGCGGCGACGGCGGCGGGCGGGCCGGCGGCCTGGGGCCCTACCTGAGGCTGTGTACCAGCTCCCGGCGTGACTGGCTTCTCGGCAGACCACTCGGTTGGACATCTTGGTGCCTGTGCCGCCTATGGTGCACGAGGATGAATGAGGAGGCGGCGGCGGCGGCGGCAGGAGCGGCTCCGCGAGGGGACGAGACACCGCGGGCCCAGCCCAGGAGGAGGCGGCAGCGGGGAGGGGATCAGCCCGGCCCAGGAGGAGGAGGAAGAGGAGGAGGCGGCGGCCCAGGAGGAGGAGATGGCAGCCGGGGCGGTGGCGGCGGCAGCAACAATCACCACAAACTCCGGCGACCGCCGGAAGATGGGGCCCACGGCGGCCTCACCGAAGCCCGGAAAGCCCTGGCCCCGGCCCCCGGCGTCCCCGCTGCTGCCCAGCCGGGGCTGGTTCCGCCGAGCCGCCCCCACGGCCCCCTCCCCTCCCAGCTGGCCTCCCCGAGCCACCGCGAGTGACCCCACCCCCGTGACTCCGCGCCCGCCCCCGCCCCCCACCCCCCGCGGGGCTCCCCGCACCCACCCCCACCCCCGGCAGGGCCCTCCAGCCCGGCCGCCCGCCGCCGGCCCCGCCCCGCTCCTCCTCCCGGCCGCGCGGCGAGGTTAACGGCGGAAACCGGACAGGCCTGACGGCATCTGGGGTCGGGCAGCCCCGCGAGGAGGCAGTGGCGGCTGCAGCTACGCGCACACAAAAGCCCAGGGCCGGGGCCTGAACCGGGGAAGGCAGACCCGGAGAAGAGCCAACGCTTCCTTACTCGCCACTCTAACGGGTCCTGCCCACTGAGCATGCCCAGCACCGCTGCCTACCCGCCGAGGAATCTCAACGTGCACGCTCCGCTCTCCGGGGTTTAGCGGCAGCAGAGGCTGGGAGGTGGGGGCAGGGCGCGGGGAGCAGGACGCAGCCGCAAGGCAAGCCCCCTCCCCCAGCCAACTTCCTCAAATGGAGAGCACCTAGGGCTCGCGGATGCGGCTTTCCACGAGGACAGTCCCGCGGGTATCCATCATATACAGGCATCTCTCATCGATTTGCACCCCCAAGGTCTCATTCCTAGGGTGGCACGCCGGGAAGTTCATCTGTAGAAGCAGGCGCGTGGTAAAGTGTGCCTGTGGTCATGCAAATACTAGTTTTTGCTTCACAGGGTCACTCTTACCACCTAATGGTGGCTTTGACACTGTAACCATTTATCTTGTTTCATGTTGTATTTATGTAGGTGTATGTCATATCTCCCTAACTAAGGTGTTTGATATAACTAGCCTCGTTATCCTCAGCTGTAAAATGGGGACACTCAAGGAGTGTACCTACGATTATAAGAGCTGTTGAATGTGAACAGCCTGACAGGGTAAGCCTACAACAAATATTATTTTCACCTTTGTCATCTTATAAATCCCAGTATTCCACATAAATGTCAGGAACAAATAATTTTTTTACAATTGTATAAGAATCACAGCAAAGGAGGCTATCTTGGACCTCTGAGGAAGTGTTATTGTTACAAAGTACACCATTGCAAAAGTAGGAATAGAGGAAGAGAAAGTTGCATACATCCAATGAAAGTTTTGGGGCAAACACTATAAAATGTTTGTAACTGCATGGGCATGGTACCTCCTGCCTATAATCCCAGCACTTTGGGGGCCTGAGGCAGTAGGACTGCCTGAGGCCAGGAGTTCTAGACCAGCCTGGGGAACATAGGAGACCCTGTTTCTATGAATTTTTTATTTTTTAATTATCCGGGCGTGGTGGCTTCGCCTGTGGTCCTAGCTACTTGGTAGGCGGAGGCGGGAGGATCACTTGAGCCCAGGAGGTCGAGGCTACAGTGAGCCATGATCACGCCACTGCATTCCAACCTGGGCAACGTACGTAGCAAGACCCTGTCTCAAAAAAGAAAAGAAAAAAAATTATATCTGAGTTTCATACTAAACAAGCCCCTGACAGATTCCAGAGTAGATGACTGGCTGTCTAGTATTCAAGTTTACTTTTAAAAGTGCTATTCTGTTTCCTCTCCTCCTCCCACCTTCTCCAACTTCAGGGCCCAAGGATTTTGTGCAGTATCCCTGTCCTAAAGCCTAGTCAATTACTGGAACACTTCTGACTCTCATACCTTTTTCTAATTAGGCTAAAATCTCCACTGTATATTTGTTTACTCAAATTTTACCCTCTCCACCAACTTGCACAAAACATAATATGCAACAAAAAAAAAATGGACATACCATGTATCCAAAACCTCTCTCTTTTTTCTTTTTTTTTTTTTTTTTTTTTTTTTTTTTGAGACAGAGTCTTGCTCTGTCACCCAGGCTGGAGTGCAGTGGCTCGATCTGGGCTCGCTGCAACCTCCGCCTCCCGAGTTCAAGTGATTCTCTTGCCTCAGCCTCCAGAGTAGCTGGGATCATGGGTGCCCACCACCATCCACCATGCCCAGCTAATTTTTGTATTTTTAGTAGAGACAGGGTTTCACCATGTTGGCCAGGGTGGTCTTGAACTCCTAACCTCAGGTGATCCACCGGCCTCGGCCTCCCAAAGTGCTGGGATTACAGGCATGAGCCATCGCACCCAGGCCAAAGCTACTTTAGAGGTAACAGAAAAAAGAAGGCTTGAGCTCTGATTACATGGTACTGTTCTGACAGTACCAAAACTCAGTGATCATTGATAAAATGGTAAAGTTTTGTTGTAAGTTGCAAGAAAAGGAAACTGCCCTAAGTGTTTATATGATGATGGTTCTTATGGTTATTTATTGCTGATTTTGTTTCTATGGAAAAGAGGTGTGGGGTGTTGTGGGGTGGTGGAGAGGGGATTGGATACAATTAAACAAAGAAAGCTTAGTATTTCAGGCCCTTCAAATTAGAAAGTCAGATTTGAGTCCTGGCCCTGTCACTCATCAGCTGTGTGACCATGGACATCTAGTAATTTAACCTTTTCTAGCCTCAGTGTTATCTGTCAAATGCAAACAGGAGTAATAGCTAACTCATATGCTTGCTGTGAGAATTATTAAGGTATGTTAAAATGCTTCATAAGCTGTTCTTTATAAATATTTGTTCTTATTATTATCCTCTACTCCTAGCAACAATCGTAAGTCTCATTCCAAACTAGTAATCTAATTTAAAATTCAGCTTTCTCCCTATTAAAATGCTCTACTGAAATTTTCTTGCTGGTCAAACTGAATAAAGATCACAATGCAATTGAACTGAAAGGTTAGCAGATAATTATGTTATCTCTAGGATGCTCTCAATACGTGCCACAATTATTCCCCCTGTCCACCTTATTCTAGCTACCTTACTCAAGTATACCCTTGAAAGAGGTTGAAACTATTCATTTATTCACCTCCCCTAAATTAAGGAAAATTCATATAATGCAAAATACTTTGTATTTTAGGAGAAGCTTATCTGGCAATACTGTACAATTTTCATGTTATTATCAATAATTTCCATTATATCCACTAGTGATTTTGGTTTGACACTGCATAAGCATTATTCATAGTAGGGAGCAAGGAGGAAACTTTTATTAACAGACAATCCTTATGAAGCTCAGACTTCAAGAAATAAGAAGGCAGGCCGGGCGCGGTGGCTCCTGCCTGTAATCCCAGCACTTTGGGAGGCCAAGGCGGGCGGATCACGTGGCCAAGAGTTTGAGACCAGCCTGGCCAAAAGGGCAAAACCCCATCTCCACTAAAAATACAAAAATTAGCCAGGCGTGGTGGCAGGTGCCTGTAATCCCAGCAACTCGGGAGGCTGAGGCAGGAGAATCGCTTGAACCTGGGAGGCAGAGGTTGCTGTGAGCCGAGATCATGCCATTGCACTCCAGCCTAGGTGACAAGAGCAAGACTCTGAGAAAGAAAGAAAGAGAGAAAGAGAGAGACAGAGAGGGAGGGAGGGGAGGGAGGAAGGGAAGGGAAGGAAGGCAGCATGTCCAATATTTACTGCAGCATTCAGTAGTAGCAAACAACTAGAAACAACCACAATGTCCACCAATGTGAAACTTGTTAAACTAGGATATACATACGCACCCATTAAAAAGAATGAAGTGGCTGGGCACAGTGGCTCATGCCTGTAATCCCAGCACTTTGGAAGGCTGAGGCAGGAGGATCACTTGAGGCCAGGAGTTCGAGACCAGCCTGGACAACATAGCAAGACAAAAAAAAGCTAAAAATAAATTTTAAAACTTTGCCAGGCACAGTGGCACACACCTATGGCCTCAGGTACTTGGGAGGCTGAAGTGGGAAAGATTGCTTTAGCCCAGGAGTTTGAGACTGCAATGAGCTATGATCACACCACTGCACTCCAGGCTGGGCAACACAGTGAGATCCCATCTTTTTTTTTTTTTTTTGAGACGGAGTCTCGCTCTGTTGCCCAGGCTGGAGTGCAGTGGTGCGGTCTCGGCTCACTGCAAGCTCCGCCTCCCGGGTTCATGCCATTCTCCTGCCTCAGCCTCCCGCGTAGCTGGGACTACAGGCGCCCACCACCACGCCCGGCTAATTTTTTGTATTTTTAGTAGAGATGGGGTTTCACCATGTTAGCCAGGATGGTTTCGATCTCCTGACCTCGTGATCTGCCCGCCTCGGCCTCCCAAAATGCTGAGATTACAGGTGTGAGCCACCACGCCTGGCCGAGACCCCATCTTTAAAAAAAAAAAGAAGAATGAAATGGCACTATATACTAGTATGGAAAGAGTTTCAAAAAAGTGAAAAAAGCAAATTACAGAATGTATAAAGTATGCTTCCATTTGTATAGAAATGAATAATTGTATTTTCATATACTTGCATATGCATGGAATACTTCTAGAAGGTAATCACTTCTAGAAGTAACTGGGTGGCTGAGGTGGAAGGATGGAAAAAGGATTTAACCTTTCCAATGTATATCTTTGCATATCTTTTGTATTTTGTGCCATATACATATACTACATACCAAACAAAAAAAAAAACCTCTATTTTTCCATCTTTAGGCTTGATTTTGAATCTACACAGCAATATTAAACTGACCATTTTTAGATTCTACTTATCCACAACTAACAGCTTTAGAAGCACCCTAACACTGAAAGCCCTATAGATCAGAAAAATATTTTACAATAGTAACACAGCATTTTGAACAAATCAAGAGAAGAGTTTAACACAGAGAGGGTCTTTTGATTTCAACTAAAACTAGTGTTCTAACCTAGTGTCAGTCAACTTTGCCCCTGTCTACCTTAGAAACCAAACATAATAAACAGTATTTATTAAATACTGTGTATCTGAACACTAGACTAAGTACATTAGATATTTAATAATTCCTGTAAGATAAAAATTTATTCATTTCCAATGTTTTGTAATACAATTTTTTACATAGAGCTTTTTTCCATATTTATTAATATTTAGGACTCTCAGAAATGGAACAACAGAGTCAAAAGATATAAGGAGCCAGGCACAGTGGCTCACACCTATAATCCCAAAATTTGGGGAGGCCAAGGCAGGAGGATCAGTTCAAGAGGTGAAGACCAGCCTGGGGCAACACAGCAAGATCTCATCTCTACTAAAAACAAATTAGCCTGACATAGTAGCACGCCCCTGTAGTACCGCGCCCTGTAGTACCAGCTACTCGGGAGGCTGAGGCAGGAGGATTGCTTGAGCCCAGGAGTTCAAAGCTGCAGTGACCTATGATTGTGCCACTGCAGTCAAGGCTGACAGAGCAAGACCCTGTCTAAAAAAAAAAAAAAAAAAAATACAAAGCTTTGTTAAAGACTGCCAAGGTTGATTTTGTTTTGAGACAGAGTCTTGCTCTGTTGCCCAGGGAGTGCACTGGCGCAATCTCGGCTCACTGCAGCCTCCACCGCCTCTAGGGATCCAGATCCAGCAATTCTCCTGCCTCAGCCTCCCGGGTAGCTGGGATTACAGGCACACACCACCATGCCTGGCTAATTTTTATATTTTTAGCAGAGCTGGGGTTTTTACCATATTGGCCAGGCTGGTCTCGAACTCCTGACCTCTGGTGATCTGCCTGCCTCGGCCTTGCAAGTGCTGGGATTACAAGTGTGAGCCACCGTGCCCGGCCAAAGGCTGGCAAGGTTTTTTAAAAAACAATTACTCATTACCAACTACCCCTTTTATCACTAGTGACCTATTTTCCACTATTTTATTACTTTTCTTCTTTGCTAATTTACACCCAGAGATTTTATTTTTTAATAAGTGGATTTTCTGTTATAGCCACTCACCAGTTTCATCTTTTGTGCCTCATTTTTCCAGTTTGATGATATGTCATCAGGCCTCCAATTGGTAATGCCATTTTGGAATCCAGTCCAGGAAAATACCTGGCTACAGTTTTGTATGCTCTTCCTAAAACGATTCTATCGCTTCTAACAGGAAGTTATCCATCTTAAAATCCCACTGTACCTTCTCCTAAATGACATTTAAATAAAAGTTCAATATTCTTCCTTTAGCTGCATCAGAACTAGGTAGATTGATCTCCTTCTATCCAACCCACTCTCCTCCCTTTTTTTTTCAATTCAAGGTTTCTATTTCCTCCAGGAATCTATTCCTGATTCAATCTACTGATACTCCCAACTAACCCACCCACCAACGTAATTCATGAACTCACTCTTAAGGGATACAGTAGGTTTTACTCAATCTTTGTATTTATTTACTAAACGACGTCATCATTAAATGGTCAAAGGTTAGGAACTGTTTATATGATTTCCAGTTATATATAATATATGACACCAAAATATAATAGTTTCTTTTTTGTTGTTGTTTTTTTGAGACAGAGTGTCATTCTGTCACCCAGGCTGGAGTGCAATGGCGCGATCTCGGTTCACTGCAGCCTCCGCCTCCCGGGTTCAAGCGATTCTCCTGCCTCAGCCTCCCGAGTAGCTGGGATTACAGGTGTCGACCACCACACCCGGCTAATTTTTGTATTTTTCGTAGAGACAGGGTTTCACCATGTTGGCCAGGCTGGTCTCAAACTCCTGACATCAGGTGATCCACCCACCTCGGCTTCCCAAAGTGCTGGGATTACAGGCGTGAGCCACGGCGCCCGGCCATATAGTAGTAACTTTCTAAACTGACTTCCATTTAACCAGTTTATGAGAGTTTAAGTGATGCTCTCCATTACCTCAGTAAAATACACTGAATAATGCCCATGAATAAACTGAACTCCTAAAGCTACTGGGCTCCACTCTTTAAGAAACTCTCAGCTGGGGGTGGTGGCTTATGCCTATAATCCCAGCACTTTGGGAGGCCAAGGCGGGCAGATCATCTGAGGTTAGGAGTTTGAGACCAGCCTGGCCAACATGGTGAAACCCAGTCTTTACTAAAAATACAAAAATTAGCCGGGCATGGTGGCAGGCATCTATAATCCCAGCTACTTGGGAGGCTGAGGCAGAAGAAGCTTCTACCTGGGAGGCGGAGGTTGCAGTGAGTCGAGATAGTGCCATTGCACTCCAGCCTGGGCAAGAAGACCAAAACACCATCTCAAAAAAAAAAAAAAAGAAAAAAGAAACTCTCACATTATGGCACTCTTTCTATATTTGTGTGTATGCCCAACAAGGATCAATTATGTTCTCCAACTTATTTATACCAGTTCTATTAGGTACTGCCATTACGTAATTTAATTAAACATTACATAAGCCAAAGAAATACAAATACATAACACAAAAGGTGTGCTATGGTCTGAATGCTGTGTTCCCCCCAAATTCATATGTTGAAATCCTAACCACTAAGGCGATGGCATTATGAGTGGGGGATCTTTCAGAGGTAATTCAGTCATTTTATGAATGGATTAGTGGCCTTATAAGAGACCTCAGAGATCTAGCTAGTCCATGTCCACAATGTGAAGACAAAGCTAGGAGGTGCCATCTGTGAACCAGAAAGTAGGCCCTCACTACACAACTTTAATCTTGAACTTCTCAGATTCCAGAATTGTGAGAAATAAATTGTTGTTTACAGGCCACCCAATCTATAGTATTTTGTTATAGCAGGCCAGAAGGACTAAGACACGTTTGTAGAAAAATTAGGTTGAATGTTTTAGAAAGACTCAATTAAAAAAAAACTGTCAGAGGCAGACAAGATGAGTAAAGACTGATAAAACAAATCTAGCATTCTACAAATTAATTCTTAAAGGTCTAAACCTTAAGATACTTCCAAAAAATTTGAAACTGAAATTTTTAGACCATGCATCATAGGTGTGCTTTGTGGAAGAAGGACAATACAGAATTCCATGAAAGAACTCATACCCAAAGACAAGACTAAAATCAAAAAATTACCAAATTCATATAGAATATTTTTAAGTTTAAAAAAAAATGTCAGCCAGGCACAGTGGCTCACGCCTGTAATCCCAGCACTTTGAGAGGCTTAGGCAGGTGGATCACGAGGTCAGGAGAGAAAGACCATCCTAGCTAACATGGTGAAACACCGTCTCTGCTTAAAATATAAAAAATTAGCCGGGCATGGTGACACTCACCTGTAGTCCCAGCTATTCAGGAGGCTGAGGCAGGAGAATCACTTGAACCCGGGAGGTGGAGGTTGCAGAGAGCATGCCATTGCACTCCAGCATGGGCGAGAGAGCGAGACTCCATCTCAAAAAAAAAAATGTTTACAGCTAGGCATGGTGGCTCATGCCTGTAATCTCAGCACTTTGGGAGGCAAAGGCGGGCGATTGCTTGAGCCCAGGAGTTCAAGACCAGCCTGGGCAACATGGTGAAATCCTGTCTCTATGAAAAATACAAAAAAAGCAAATTAGCCAGACATGGTGGCAAGCACCTGTAGTCCCAGCTACTCAGGAGGCTGAGGTGGGAGGATCACTTGAGCCTAGGAGGTCAAGGCTGCAGTGAGCTGAGATCATCCCACTACACTCCAACCTGGGTGATGGAGCAAGACTCTATCTCAAAAACAAACAAAAAAACTTTCTACAGTATGTATCATTTATGATTACCTACAGTGACTCACTTTTATTTATCTATTTATTTATTTTGAGACAGAGTCTCGCTCTATCACCCAGGCTGGAGTGCAGTGGCACGATCTCAGCTCATTACAACCTCTGCTTCTGGGTTCAAGCCATTCTCCAGCCTCAGCCTTCTGAGCAGCTGGGACTACAGGCACGCCCCACCGCACCCAGCTAATTGGTGACTCACTTTTTCATCTACTAGCTAGATCAGTGGGACTAGTTTTTCCATCAAAGAAAAATTTAGACACACCTGAGAGGTAATAGGGTATTAAGCTAAAATTAGCCTGGCGTGGTGGTGCATGCCTGTAGTCCTAGCTACTTAGGAGGCTAAGATGAGAGACCGGCTTGAGCCGAGGAGGCAGATTTCAGTGAGTCAAGATCATATCACTGCACTCCAGCCTGGAAAACACAGCCAGACGCTGTCTCAAAAAAATATATATATAGTATTGGCAGGGGGTGGTGGCTCACGCCTGTGAGCCACCATCCCAACACTTTGGGAGGCCGAGGCAGGTGGATTACTGGAGGTCAGGAGTTTGAGACCAGCCTGGCCAACATGGCAAAACCCGTCTCTACTAAAAATACAAAATTAGTTGGGTGTGGTGGTGTGCGCCTGTAATCCCAGCTACTAGGGAGGCTGAGGCAGGAGATTTGCTTGAACCCAGGAGGCAGAGGTTGCAGTCAGCTGAGATCAAGCCATCACACTCCAGCCTGGGCAAAAAGAGCAAAACTCCGTCTCAAAAAAAAAAAAAAAATATATATATATATATATATACACACACATATATATGTGTATATATATATGTATATGTGTGTATATATATAAACATAAACATATACATATATTTGTACATATATATGTATATGTAAAAACATATACATATATATATATAATGTTAAGATGGGTTTGAATCCCTGCCAAAAACTTAATTCCTCTGTAACCTTAAGGAAATTATTCAAATGTTTCATCTATAAATGAAGTGTTAAACTAGCCGGGCGTGGTGGTGTGTGCCTGTAGTCCCACCTGCTCAGGAGGCTGACGCAAGAAGATGACTTGAGCCCAGGAGTAAGCTATGCTCTTACCATTGGGCTCCAGCCTGGGTGACAGAGCAAGACTCCGTCTCAAAAACAAATAGGCTGGGCACAGTGGCTCTCACACCTATAATCCCAGCACCGTGGGATTATAGACAGGTAGATAGCTTGAGGCCAGGAGTTCGAGTTCAAGACTAGCCTGGTCAACACAGTGAGAACCCGTCTCTGCAAAAGCTTCAAATAAAAAAAAATTAGCCAGGCTCAGCAGTATACCTATAGTCCTAGCTACTTGGAAGGCTAAGGCAAGAAGCTCACTTGAGCTTAGGGCTTCAAGGTTGCAGTGAGCTATGACCATGCCATTGCACTCCAACCTGGGTGACAGAGCAAGACCTCATCTCTAAATAAATAAAGTATTAAAATTAAAATTAAACCTACCCCAAATTTTGAGGGGTGAGGAATATGTTTATGGCCTTGATGGTAGTTATGGTTTCAGTGATCTATAGTTATCTCCAAAGTAATCAAGTTGTATATATTAAATATATACAGCTTTTTGTTCAATTATACTCTGATAAAGTGATTTTTTAAATAAAATTAAATAGGGATAAATTTTTTAAACTTAAATCCACCTCACAGGTTCAAGGATTAAATGACAACTCACGTAAATATTTAACATGCTGCCTGGCACATAAATACTCAAGTAAGTATTATGTGGACTGGCAGGAAAAGACATTCCTTGCCAGGCACAGTGGCTCACACCTGTAATCCCAGCACTTTGGGAGGCCAAGGCAGCAGGATCTCATGAGGTCAGGGGTTTGAGACAGACCATCTGGGCAACATAGTGAGACCTCACCTCTTAAAAAAAAAAAAAAAATTGGCCGGGCACGGTGGCTCACGCCTGTAATCCTAGCACGTTGGGAGGCCGAGGCGGACAGATTGCCTGAGCTCAGGAGTTCGCAACCAGCCTGGGCAACACGGTGAAACCCCGTCTGTAAGAAAATACAAAAAATTAGCCGGGTGTGGTGGCGTGCGCCTGTAGTCCTAACTACTAGGGAGGCTGAGGCAGGAGAATTGCTTGAACCTGGGAGGCGGAGGTTGCGGTGAGCCACTGCACTCCAGCCTGGGCGACAGAGCGAGACTCCGTCTAAAAAGCTTAATAAAAAGACATTTCTATTCTCAGCCCTTACCACTAGGTCGAGTATTGAATATTTATACTTCCAAAACTAGAATATCTTCTAATCAATCCTTAACCACAGGTATCAGAATGCCTTAAAGATTTTTGTCAGGCCGGACACGGTGGCTAACACCTATAATTCCAGCACTTTGGGAGGCTGAGGCGGGTGGATCACCTGAGGTCAGGAGTTCAAGACCAGCCTGGCCAACATGGTAAAACCCTGTCTCTACTAAAACTACAAAAATTAGCCAGGTATGGTGGCACACACCTGTAATCCCAGCTACTGGGGGGTGCTGAGACAGGAGAATCGCTTGAACCCAGGAGGCGGAGGTTGCAGTGAGCTGAGATTGCGCCACTGCACTCCAGCCTGGGCAACCGAGCAAGACTCCATCTCAAAAAAAAAAAAAGCAACAACAAAAAAGGCTGTGTCCCATTGGGTCATGTTCACCAGGTGACAGCTTTAGAGGCCCGTTAACACATAAATAATACTTATATTATGTACAAAATTTGTATTTTTATATTGATTTTTATGTTTATATTGTTTATACTTATATTTGAAAAGTTCCCCCAAGTAGCTCTGATGAGAATCGTCGGTAAAGAACCACTGCTAGAAGATTATTGATCCCTTAATAAGATTACCCAATTATGGGCGTGGTGGCTCACACCCATAATCCTAGCACTTTGGGAGGCTGAGGTGGGCAGATCACCTGAGGTCAGGAATTCGAGACCAGCCTGGCCACCATAGTGAAACCCCGTCTCTACTAAAAATACAAAAATTCGCTGGGGACAGTGGCATGCACCTGTAGTCTCATCTACTCAGGAGGCTGACACAGGAGAATCACTTGAGCCTGGGAGCCAGAGGTTGCAGTGAGCCAAGATCACGCCATTGCACTCCAGCCTGAGTGACAGAGCGAGACCTTGTCTCAAAAAAAAAAAAAAAAAAATTACCCAATTACTACTCAAATGTTAAAAAATCACTAAAAAGACTTGGGTGGATTAACTTATGAGTTAGCCAAATAACCAAAATAAATTTGATAGAATACTTATGAAAACTACTATATAAGAAGATCCCAGTATGTCCAGGTTTTTCCTATTCAAATATGTAGATTTGCAGATGTAAACCAAAAACATAATACCTCCCATAAGTGTCAGTTCTACTAAAATAAGTATTTCCTGTATTAAAGAAAATTATAAGGCATACCTAATCAGCATTATGTATTTATGTATTTTTTTTTTTAATTTTTTTTCTTTTTGAGACAGTCTCACTCTGTCGCCCAGGCTGGAGTGCAGTGGCACAATCTCGGCTCACTGCAACCTCTGCCTCCCAGGTTTAAGCAAGTCTTCTGCCTGAGCCTCCCGAGTGGCTGGGACGACAGGCACATGCCACCATGCCTGGCTGATTTTTGTATTTTTAGTAGAGACAGGGTTTCACCATATTGGCCAGGCTGGTCTCGAACTCCTGACCTTGTGATCCACCTGCCTCGGCCTCCCAAAGTGCTGGGATTACAGGCGTGAGCCACCGCACCCGGCCAATCACATTAAATTTCTAACTTTGCAAAGGCCTTAACATGTTTAGCATGGAGACACACGACTTTAATAGGCTTCTAATGCAGGGTTTTTCAACTTTGGCACTGACATTTTAAGCTAGATAATTCTTGGGGAGGGAGAAGATGGGCATACAGGCTATCCTATTCATTGTTAAGATGTTTCAGCAGCATCTATACCCACTAGATGCCAGTAGAACCCCACCTAGCTGGGCATGGTGGCTCATGCCTGTAATCCCAGCACTTTGGGGGGCCAAGGCAGGTGGATCACAAGGTCAGGAGTTCAAGAACCCCACCTTATTCCAGTTGTGACAACCAAAATGTGTCTAGACATCAACAAATGTTCTCTGGGGAAATGGGGGTGGGGAGAGATAATCACTCATATTTGAGAACCACTGCTCTAGTGAATGTTTTTCCTGGCTCTCTTAAGGCAGTTTCTCTATTTTCTGAGCTAGTGAGCTATCTCAATTTCTTCACAGGGGACAATGAGAATAGACCCCAAAAAGGACTGGCTGCTGCTTTTTATTGCAAAGAGAAGCAATGAAATTCAGCAACACATTGGTAGAACAGGATTTGAATTCCCAAAAACTTACCAGCAGTGTTGTCTTGAGCATGTCACTTAACCTCTCCAAGTCTGTTTCCTCATCTGCAAAATGGGAATAATAATATCTACTTTGCAGAGCTGCTTATATCAGAGATCATTTAAGTAAAAATGTACTATGCCTGAAACTTAGTAGGAATGCAATAAATTACAGCTATTACTATAAATGTTGATAACATTAGAAGATATTGTATCCCCTTTGCAATGCTTTTATTAGTACTCCAACTTTAATGTACATTAGAATCACCTGTGATACTTGTTAAGCCATTGAAGATGCCCAGATCCCACCCTCAGAAAGGTCCAGAAACAATGCTGAGAAAAATTGGCTGAATTTTTTAAATTATACTTGACTGCTGTATTTTCTCTCTGTTGTAAAACTCTGCAGCATTTGAAGACAGAAGAAAAAGAGAAATTCATAAAACAATTCAATCATGTAAAATATTTGTCATACAGAACAAAAACTACTTTAAAATAATGGTGTTTTGACAGTTTATTTTGAAGGTCATTTTAAAAACAAAGTTAAAGACAATCTGAGAAAAAAATTGCACAGAATACACTCATTAAATAGGTATGGTTTATGGTGATTAAATCAAAATAAGGGAAATATGTTATCTTCTGCAATTCCAGAAATAGGTTCTGTTGTCCGGAAGGTTCTTATACATCCAAAAAGAGGGAATGATCATGGCAATTAAAGCTGCCTCTTAATCATGTAAATCTACAGTAGCAACTAAATTTTTCTGTTCTTCCCATTAAGTCAGTTTCGATCTTCAAACTGTGCCTTGTTTTTTAAAAGATAAGATGCTAGAAATTCAATGGGATTTGGTGGTCTGTAAGGGAAAAGAAATCCAAAGTTTAGAAATATATTTCCTAGGTGTGTTAATTTAAACATATTGTTCCATAATGAAAACTCATCTTTTTAAGTTTAATTTTCATTTCACAGTCAAAGGACATTTGTAGTAAATAAAATAAATGAGATAAGCAAGCAAATTAATTAGCCAACAAAATAGTTTAATGAGACTGAAATTTTTGTATGGCTTAAATCTGGTTATGAACTCAATTTTAAAACATGTTTAAAAAATGTATTGACAATGGGATGATCATTACCCCAGAAAGAATAATGACTTGAAGGGGTCACATGGATGGCTTCTGAGATGCTGGCAGTATTCAGTTTCTTGATCTGACTGCAAGCTACACAGGTATGTTTAGTTTGTGAAAATTCATCAAGCTGTATACCTATGATATGTGTAATATTCTGTGTAATATCCTTCAATAAAAGAACAAAAATAATATAGGACAGTGGATGTAGCATCACTAAGACATGTAGATGAACTCAAGTGATTAGTCAAAGAAGCAACACTAATACAGATAAGTAGGTTATGTTTCTTTTCTAAAAGCTACTTCTTTCTTTCTTCGAATAATTTAAGTCAATAATTCTATTTAATACAACTACAGTACACCTAAGAAGATAAACACATTTATAAAACTAACAGCAGATATTTGATATTAACACTTCTATATAAATTATTCTTGCTGAGAATACAAGTCCAAAGTTGAAAAATTGGGGAGACATCTATTTTAAACTCTGCTATGAAAAGGCATATTGAAAATATGTTTACAATGATCTCAAAACATTCCCAGAGCACTTTAAACAGCCCTAAGAGCTGTCTACAAATAGACAAGATTTTTCACTTAGTATTTAGGGTTCACATGATGAATTACTTTACCAGAACTCTTTACTTAAAAAATGTATTTGGGGCCAGGCGCAGTGGCTCATGCCTGTAATCCCAGCATTTGGGAAGCCGAGGCGGGTGGATCATGAGGTCAGGAGTTCAAGACAGTCCTGACCAACATGGTGAAACTCCATCTCTACTAAAAATACAAAAATTAGCCGGTCATGGCAGTGCGCACCTGTAATCCCAGCTACTCAGAAAGCTGAGGCAGAAGAATCACTTGAACCCGGGAGGTGGAGGTTGCAGTGAGCCGAGATCATGCCACTGTACTCCAGCCTGGGCGACAGAGCAAGATTCCGTCTCAAAAAAAAAATTGTATTTGACCGGGTACGGTGGCTCATGCCTGTAATCCTGGCACTTTAGAGGGCCAAGGCGGGCAGATCACAAGGTCAGGAGTTTGAGACCAGCCTGGCCAACATGGTGAAATCCTGTCTCCACTAAAAATACAAAAAATTAGCCGGGCGTGGTAGTGCATGCCTGTAGTCCCAGCTACTCAGGAGGATGAGGCATGAGAATCACTTTAACCCCAAAGGCAGAGGTTGCAGTGAACCAAGATCGAGCCACTGCCCTCCAGCCTGCCGCAACAGAACAAGACTCCGTCTTGGAAAGAAAAAAAAAAAAAACCGTACTTGGGCCGGGGGGAAAAAAAAAACAACACCGTACTTGGGCCGGGCACGGTGGCTCACGCTTATAATCCTCACACTTTGGGAGGCCAAGGCAGGCAGATAGCTTGAGCCCAAGGGTTCAAAATCAACCTGGCAACGTGACAAAACCCTGTCTCTACAGAAAATACAAAAAATCAGCCAGGCGTGGTGGCGCACACCTGTAGTCACAGCTACTCAGGAGGTTAGGTGGAAAAATCACTTGAGCCTGGGAGTTCGAGGCTTCAGTAAGCCATGATTGCCCCCACTGTATTCCAGCTGGGGCAACAGAGCAAGACTCCATGTCAAAAAAAAAAATTTGTGTTTTAACAAAAAATATATTTACTGGCCAGTTGCAGTGGCTCATGCCTGTAATCCCAGGACTTTGGGAGTCCAAGGAGGATCACTTCCAAGCCTGGGCAACATAGTAAGACCCCAACTCTTCAAAAAAGTTTAAAAATTAGCCTGGCATAGTGGCACACGCCTGTAGTCCCACCTACTCAGAAGGCTGAGGTGAGAGGATTGCTTAAGCCCAGAAGGCTGAAGCTGCGGTGAGTGGTGATCTTGCCACTGCACTCCAGCCTGGATGACAGAGCGAGAACTTGTCTCAAAAAAATTAACAATAAAAAAAATTTTTTAAATGTATTTACGAGCTTGAACTTAAAAATTTCTTCAAAAGTTTTTCTAGCATTTAAAGTAATATTTGGAGGCCGAGTGTAATGGCTCATGCCTGTAATCCCAACACTTCAGGAGGCCGAGGCAGGCAGATCACCTGAAATCAGGAGTTCCAGACCAGCCTAATCAACATGGTAAAACCACATCTCTACTAAAAATACAAAAATTAGCCAGGCACGATGGCAGGCGCCTGTAGTTCCAGCTACTCCAGAGGCTGAGGCAGAATTTCTTGAACCAGGGAGGCGGAGGTTGCAGTGAGCTGACATCGTGCCACTGCACTCCACTCTGAGCAACATAGCATCCAGCCTGGGCAACACAGCAAAACTCCGTCTCAAAAAATAAATAAATAAATAAATACAGTAATATTTTAAATTTCTAATATATTAGTCTTCCCTAGAGGAAAAACAAAAAAATAGAAAAGATATCCATATTTTTTTCCTTTTTTCCCTTTTTTTTTTTTTTAAGACTACTCAAGTGCAATAGTGAGAAGGGCGAAAAGAGTAGAATAGGGGAATAAGGGCCAGGCACGATGGCTCACACCTATAATCCCAGCATTTTGGGAGGCCAATGAGGGCAGACCACCTGAGGTCAGGAGTTAGAGACCAGCCTGGCCAACATGGTGAAACCCCATCTCTACTGAAAATACAAAAATTAGCCACGTGTGGTGGCACACACCTGTGGTCCCAGGTATTCGGGAGGCTGAAGCAGGAAAATCATTTGAACTGGGAGTCAGAGACTGCAGTGACCTGAGACTGTGCCACTGCATTCGAGCCTGGGCAACAGAGACTCTGTCTCAAAAAAAAAAAAAAAAAAACCAGCTGGGCACAGTGGATCACCTGAGGTCAGGAGTTCAAGACCAGCCTGGCCAACATGGTGAAACCCCATCTCTACTAAAAATACAAAAATTAGCTTTGTGTGCTGACAGGCACCTGTAATCCCAGCTACTCAGGAGGCTGAGGCAAGAGAACTGCTTGAACCCAGGAGGTGGAGGTTGCAGTGACCTGAGATCATGCCACTGCATTCCAGCCCTGGGTAACAAGAACAAAACTCTGTCTCAAAAAAAAAAAAAAAAAGAGTAGAATAAGGAGCTTGATCTGTAAGACTATCAACAATCGAGTTAACTCACTACCTTCAAATCAACCAAGATACCCATTTTTTTTTTTTTTTTTTTTTGAGACGGAGTCGCTCTGTTGCCCAGGCTGGAGTGCAGTGGCGCAATCTCGGCTCACTGCAAGCTCCGCCTCCCGGGTTCACGCCATTCTCCTGCCTCAGCCTCCCGAGTAGCTGGGCCTACAGGCACCTGCCACCACGCCCAGCTAATTTTTTGTATCGTTACTAGAGACAGGGTTTCACTGCATTAGCCAGGATGGTCTCGAACTCCTGACCTCATGATCTGCCCGCCTCGGCCTCCCAAAGTGTTGGGATTACAGGCGTGAGCCACCACGCCCGGCCCAAGATACCCATATTTTAATTGTTGATAGTAGAGCCAAGATATAGCTCAGTCATAAATAAATGGTAATTTACAAATATAGCCATCAAAAACAAATATTTACTGCTCATTCATATAGTTTTTATATAAACAAATTATCTATTCTAAGTTAATAACTCACTTTTACTATAAGAAATGATATATTTCCTTTTTTTTTTTTTTTTGAGGCAGGGTCTCACTCTGTCACCCAGGCTGGAGTGCAGTGGTGCGATCACAGCTCACTGCAGCCTCAAACTCCTGGGCCCAAGCCCAAGCGATCCTCCCACCTTGGCCTCCCAAGCAGTGCGGACTAAGGCATACCCCACCACACCTGGCTGAGATGAGACATGGTTCCATCAAGTTCTTTATCAAGTTATGTCAGTTTGCTATTATAATGTTTATTATTATTCCTTGAATAAAAAAGAATATGCACCTAATAAACGTTGACTAGTCTAACTTGCAAAACCAATTTTCTTATTAGATTTGCTTACACAAAAAAGAATTTAGGTGAGAAATACTGGGGAAAACATGTTAAAGAAAGAGAAATAATTGTACTCTTGCTATTAAGAAAATTTAAGGCCAGGCTCAGTGGCTCACGCCTATAATCCCAGCACTTTGGGAGGCCGAGATGGGCGGATCACAAGGTCAAGAGATCGAGATCATTCTGGCCAACATGGTGAAACCCCATCACTACTAAAAATACAAAAACTAGCCGGGCATGGTGGTGGGTGCCTGAGCTGCTCAGGAAGCTAAGGCAGAATCTCTTGAACTCATGAGGTGGAGGTTGCAGTGAGCCAAGATCATGCCACTGCACTCCAGCCTGGCGACAGAGCGAGACTCCAAACCCTGTTTCTACTAAAAATACAATAATCAGCCAGGCGTGGTGGCAGGTGCCTGTAATCCCAGCTACTCGGTAGACTGAGGTAGGAGAATCGCTTGAACCCGGTGAGGTGGAGGTTGCAGTGAGCCAGGGTTGCACCACTGCACTCCAGCCAGGGAGACATAGCAAGACTCTGTCTCAAAAAAAAATAAGAATAATAATAATAGGCCGGGCGCAGTGGCTCATGCCTGTAATCCCAGAACTTTGGAAGGCTGAGGCGGGCAGATCACTTGAGGTTAGGAGTTCAAGACCAGCCTGGCCAACATGGTGAAAACCCTTCTTTACTAAAAATACAAAAATTAGCCGGGCGTAGTGGCCCACGCCTGTAGTCCCAGCTACCCGGGAGGCTGAGACACAAGAATCACTTGAAACCAGGAGGTAGAGGTTGCAGTGAACGAGATCATACCACCGTCCTCCAGCCTGGGCAACAGAGCTAGATTCTGTTTCAAAATAACAATAATAATAATAAATTATAATCATGAAGACTGTGGAGAGATACAGAAAAATGTTATGTCATAATAAATAAAAAGAAAAATCAAAATTACATGTATATCATGATTACAAATCTTTACAAATATGCATATGATCTAAGACTGGTGGGAAAAAATTTAAATGTCTGAATTATGAGATTATGGCTGAATACTTTCTTAAAAACTTTAACATCCATAAATCACACAGTAAAAAGTCGCTATACATAACTATGATATTTCAGATAGGGGAATCTATTTTGCTTTCTTTACTAACTCCATTTGTGGACACAATTATCTTACCTTTCCTTTGCAAGCACAGCAAGTCCCTGTAATAAGATAGGCACAACTGTCTGATCCAGGTAGGCACGAGTTGGCAAAGACTGGAGATCTACCTTCTGCTTTGATGACTTTTCTGCATTAATCTTCTCATTTTCTACTATTCTCTAGTGAATTCAAAAAAACAGTGCATGAACATTTCAAATAACCAGGTTATTTTGAGTGCTAAACAAAACTAATGGAAATATGACACTAATAGAAAAGGCAAATCAATGACTAGAAAGATGGTACTAGACCACAAACTTCTCTGCCCAAAATAAATTCAGACCCATCTTTCAATCTCATTCAAGCTCTCTCTCTCCAAAAGCACCTATTATCTCATTGTTCTAATGTCATGTCTCAAGATCCTACTCTTTCTCCCTTTCCTTCTGACTTTGCAGGAGTAAATACAAATCCTTTTTCTCTTTTTCATGTATCTTCTTAGAGTGTGTTCCCAAAAAAAAAAAAAAAAAATAATGAATGTAACACCAAACAGCACCAAATCATAGTAAGAAAGCTGGTCACATCAGAGAGAGCAAGCTTCAGGGTCCAAGGCTTATACACTCAAGAGAATACAGCTAAAATTTATTACCATTGTCTTGTATTCACTGTTGTCATTTTTATGGTTACCCTCTATTTATCACAATGAGAATGTTTTTCCCTTTATGTTTCTTTTTTAAAGAAATATATCCAGCCTGGACAACTGCAAAATCCAGTCTTTACCAAAAATACAAAAATCAGGCCTGGCGCAGGGGCTCACGCCTGTAATCCCAGCACTTTGGGAGGCCGAGGCGGGCAGATCACGAGATCAGGATATCGAGACCATCCTGGCTAACACAGTGAAACCCCATCTCTATTAAAAATACAAACAATTCCCCGGGCGTGGTGGCAGGCGCCTGTAGTCCCACTTACTCGGGAGGCTGAAGCAGGAGAATGGCGTGAACCTGGGAGGCGGAGCTTGCAGTGAGCCGAGATCGCGCCACCACACTCCAGCCTGGGCGACAGAGCGAGACTCAGTCTCAAAAAAAAAAAAAAAAAAAATTATCCAGGCGTGGTAGTGCGTGCCTGTAGCCCCAGCTACTCAGGAGCCTGAGGTGGGAGGATCACTTGAGCCCAGGAGACGGAGGTTGCAGTGAGACGAGATCATGCCACTGTACTCTAGCCTGACCGACAAAGCAAGGCCCTGTCTCTAAATAAATAAATAAATCTATGATTTTTAAAAATGAACAGGTTTAAGAAAATACATTATGTAAATAATAACCCCAAAATGAAGAAAATTATTAACAGAAAAAATCATTAATGTCACACTTAAATGAATGAAGTTTTCCCCATTCCGGCAGGTAACACTAAAAAACAATAATTACAATTAAAAATAAATGAAGTTTAAAAAATAACAAGTTATATTTTCTTCTTCACAATTCCCAAATTTTGGAGCTATCAAATAGATTCGACTGACATTCAGAGCATTAAAAAGTAATTCATTGCCTCCATCGCACTCACATTTTTAAAACTAATGTATTAAAAAATTTTGCGGCCAGGCACGGTGGCTGACTCCTGTAAACCCAGCACTTTCGGAGGCCAAGGCACGCCGACCATGAGGTCAGGAGTTCAAGACAGCCTGGCCAATACGGCAAAACCCCGTCTCTACTAATAATACAAAAATTAGCCGGGCGTGGTAGTGCACACCTGTACTCCCAGCTACTCGGGAGGCTGAGGCAGAAGAATCGCTTGAACCTGGGAGGTGAAGGTTGCAATGAGCCGAGATCACACCACTGCACTCCAGCCTGGGTGACAAAGACTCCGTCTCAAAAAAAAAAAGAAAAATAAAAAATAAAAAAACTAGACAGGCATGGTGGTGCACACCTGTAATGCCAGCTACTTAAGAAGCTGAAACACGAAAATCACTTGTACCTGGGAGGCAGTGGTTGCAGTGAGCTGAGGTCATGCCACTGCACTCCAGCCTGGGTAACACAGCAAGATTCCGTCTCAAAACGAAAAAACAAAGGCCGGGCACGGTGGCTCACACCTGTAATCCCAGCACTTTGAGAGGCCCAAGAGGGCGGATCATGCAGTCAGGAGTTCGAGACCAGCCTGACCAACATGGTGGAACCCTGTCTCTACTAAAAATACAAAAATTAGCTGGACGTAGTAGTGCGCGCCTGTAATCCCACCTACTCAGGAGGCTGAGGCAGGAGAATCACTTGATTCCAGGAGGCAGAGGTTGCAGTGAGCCAAGATTGCGCCACTGCACTCCAGCCTGGGTGACAGAGCGAGACTCTGTCTCAAAAAAATAAAAAATAAAAATAAAAAAATGAAAGAGACAAAAAAAAAAGAAGAAATAGCTCTAAAAGGACAAAACAGTATTCCTAAGAGCACTTTCATTTAAATGAACTTTTGCTTCAATCATACTCAAACTAGATATAAAAGAGTCGACAAAGAAAAATTTTTCTACTTTTAATTTTATTTTGGTAAAAGTGAGAAAAAACCTTTAATCACATTATCTGTAACATATATAGCATGGTTTCCAAAGACACTTCCCATAACTATGTCAGACAACTTCTGCTTATAATTTTTCAATCTAATTTTGGAATTAAAAGATAATTTTCTATGAAATACAAAGTTTTTTAATCTATAAAATACTATTTATTTGTCCATGGACTGAAAATTTTATTTTTCATTATTAAATTTCAACAGATAATTAGCACACCATCATTTCAGAAATGCTAACTGAGCCTTTGTAAAAGTTCAGCTTTCCATTGCAGAAAACACTATACAACTTCATTATTTCTGAAAACTGACAGTATCATCTTGAATGAATTTTCATCCCCTAAATCAAAATCCACTATGTTCAAAACTTCACACTGATCACAACAAAGACAATGCGGCAAACTTCAAAATCTCACAGTGTATTTCCTAAAAACAGTCCTAACTTCCAGTCACAGTATACGTATACAATAAAAACTACTCGGGGCCAGGCACAGTGGCTCACATCTGTAATCCCAGTACTTTGGGAAGCCAAGGCAGGAGGACTGCTTGAGCACAGGAGTTTGAAACCAGCTTGAGCAACATAGTGAGACCCTGTTACCATTTTTAAAAGAATAATTTTAGGCCGGGCACAGTGGCTCACGCCTATAATCCCAGCACTTTAGGAGGCCGAGGCAGCTGGACCACGAGTTCAGGAGTTCGAGACCAGCCTGACCAACATGGTGAAACCCCGTCTCTACTAAAAATACAAAACTTATCTGGGCATGGTGGCAGGCGCCAGTAATCCCAGCTATTCAGGAGGCTAAGGCAGGAGAATTGCTTGAACCCTGGAGGCAGAGGTTGCAGTGAGCCAAGATTGCGCCACTGCACTCTAGCCTGGGCAACAGAGTGAGACTCCATCTCAAAAAAATAATAATAACTTTTTTTTTAATTTTTGGCAGGGCGCGGTGGCTCATGCCTGTAATCCCAGTACTTTGGGAGGCCGAGGCAGGTGGATCACCTGAGGTCAGGAGTTCCAGACCAGCCTGCCCAACATGGTGAAACCCCGCCTCTAAAAATACAAAAATTAACCAGGCATGGTGGCAGGCACCTGTAATCCCAGGCACTCGGGAGGCTGAGGCAGGAGAATTAATTGAACCTGGGAGATGGAGGTTGCAGTGAGCCGAGATCGCACCGTTGCACTCCAGCCTGGGTGACAGAGAAAGTCTCTGTCTCAAAAAAAGAAAAAAAATTTTAACTTGTTAGTTACATGACATTACAATGCCTACAATAGGAAAGCCAATAAGAAAGAGCAATGTGGCCGGGCATGGTGGCTCACGCCTGTAATCCCAGCACTTTGGGAGGCCAAGGCAGGCGGATCACTTGAGGTTAGGAGTTCAAGAACAGCCTGGCCAACATGGAGAAACCACAACTCTATTAAAAATACAAAACTAGCCAGGCGTGGTGGCACATGCCTGTAATCCCAGCTACTCGGGAGGCTAAGGCAGGAGAATCACTTGAACCTGGGAGGCGGAGGTTGCGGTGAGCCGAGATCGCGCCACAGCACTCCAGCCCAGCAACAAGAGCAAAACTCCGTCTCAAAACAAACAAACAAAAAGAGCAATGCCTAAGAAACTCCTATAACTCCTGTAATAAATTTCTTAACCAAATCCTCCCATTTATTTCATGTGAACATTTATGAATTATCTACTATATGCCAATTGTGATGCTCAATTTCACTTGTCAAAATCTTGAACTAACCTAAAAATAGATATAGCCAAACTAACACAAACAAACAATGAGCTGATAAGACAGTGTAGAACAGTGATCACAAAAAGGGGAGAAATTAGGTGAGTACTATGACTGTCCCAGCTTACTGCTTTCTGCTTGGAGAACTTACAGGATAAAGTGTAGGGAGAGAGAACTTGAACAGAGCCTAGTAGTCTCCCTGAGTTGAGAAGACAGTTGAAAATTCTGGAAGACCAAAACAACTAAAATTTGCAAGGCAGAGCACTGAAGAGAAGAAAGGCGCATGGAGACAAGAACTGCACAGAAAGAGACTAAACATATTGCCTTCCAGTCTTCAGGTGAATACTTATCAATAGATGGATATAAGTCAACTACCCAAGGCCAGGGAAACAACCATCTTGTGTTAGTCCATTTGCATTGCTATAAAGAAATACCTGAGGGTGGGTAATTTATAAAGAAAAGAGGTTTATTTGGCCACAGTTCTGCAAGCTACACAAGCATGGCGCCAGCATCTGCTTCTTGTGAGGGCTTCAGGGAGCAATGAATCGTGACAGAGAGGGAAGGGGAACTGGTGTGTCACATAACAAGAGAGGGAGCAAGAGAGAAAGGAGTAGGTGCCAGACTCTTTTTAACAATCAGATCTCACGGTAACTAATAGAGTAAGAACTGACTCATTACCAAAAGATGGCACCAGGCCATTCATGAGGGATTTGCCCCCATGACCCAAACACCTCCCACTAGGCCCCACCTCCAACACTGGGGGTCACATTTCAACATGAGATTTGGAAGGGACAAATATCCAAACTATATTACACCAGGAGGAACAATCCTTGCAGCTCACACAGGCTGGAAACAGTTTGTGTTCCAGTGACACAGGGGAAGAAAATCTCATAATACGCTGGCCACGGTGACTCACACCTGTAATCCCAGCACTTTGGGAGGTCAAGGCAGGTGGATCACCTTAGGTCAGGAGTTTGAGACCGTCCTGGCCAACATGGTAAAACCCCGTCTCTACTAAAAATACAAAAATTCGGCAGGCATGGTGGCACATGCCTGTGATTCCAGCTACTCGGGAGGCTGAGGCAGGAGAGTCACTTGAACCCAGGAGGTGGAGGTTGCATTGACCCAAGATCGCGCCACTTCCAGCCTGGGCGACAAGAGCAAAACTCCATCTCAAAAAAGAAAAATAAAAAAAGGTAAATCGCTTGAACCCGGGAGGCAGAGGTTGCAGTGAGCCGAGAGCACGCCACTACACTCCAGCCTGGGGGACAGAGCGAGACTCCATTTAAAAAAAAAAAAAAAATTATAATGTATCCCTGCCAGGCATGGTGGCACACCTCTAGTCCCAACTACTCAGGAGGCTGAGGTGGGAGGATCACTTAAGACCAGGAGTTTGAGGCTACAGTGAGCTACGATCATGCCACTGTACCCCAGCCTGGGTGAAAGAGCAAGACTCGGTCTTAAAAACAAAAATTAAATAAATAAATAAACAAAAACATTTCGCCGGGCACGGTGGCTCACACTTGTAATCCCAGCACTTTGGGAGGCCGAGGCGGGTGGATCACGAGGTCAGGAGATCAAGACCATCCTGGCCAACATGGTGAAACCTCATCTCTACTAAAATACAAAAAATTAGCTGGGTTTGGTGGCTCCCAGCTACTTGGGAGGCTGAGGCAGGGGAATCACTTGAACCCAGGAAGCGGAGATTATAGTGAGCCAAGATCGCGCCACTGCACAACAGCCTGGCAACAGAGCAAGATTTCATCTTATTAAAAAAAAAAAAACATTTATAATATATTCTATAAGTTCACAATAGAAAAAAGCATAAGTAGGCCAGGTGCAGTGGCTCACATCTGTAATCCCAGCACTTTGGGAGGCTGAGGCAGGCAGCTTACTTAAGGTCAGCAGTTTGAGACCAGCCTGACAAACACTGTGAAACCCCGCCTCTACTAAAAATACAAAAATTAGCTGGGCATGGTAGCGGGTGCCTATAATCCCAGATACTTAGGAGGCTGAGACATGAGAATCACTTCAACCCGGGAGGCAGAGGTTACAGTAAGCCGAGATCACGCCATTGCACTCCAACCTGGCGACAGAGCAAGACTCAGTCTCGAAGAAAAAAAAAAAAAAAAAGAAAAAGAAAAAAGGATAAGTAAACTGATCTTTTTCCTTTTTTTTTTCTGAGACAGGGTCTCACTCTGTCACCCACCCTGCAGTGCACTGGCATGATCCTGGTTCACTCCAGCCTTGGCCTCCCAGGCTCAAGCAATCCTCCCACCTCAGTCTCCTGAGTAGCTGGTACTATAGGCACACACCACCATACCCAGCTAATTTTTTTTTTTAGATGGGGTCTCACTATGTTGCCCAGGCTGGTCTTAAACTCCTAGATTCAAGGAATCCTCCCACCTTGGCCTCCCAACGGGCTGGGATTACAGGCATGAGTCACGTCCCATGGCAAAGTATTTTTTTTAAATAATGGCTGAAATTCTTCCAAGTTTGATGAAAATTCTAAACCACAGATCCAAGAAGCTCAATGAATCCTAAGCAGAAGTATTAAAAGAAAAAAACTGGCTGGGCGCGGTGGCTCACGCCTGTAATCCCAGCACTTTGGGAGGCCAAGGTTGGCGGATCACGAGGTCAGGAGATCGAGACCATCCTGGCTAACACGGTGAAACCCCGTCTCTACTAAAAATACAAAAAAATTAGCCGGGCATGGTGGCGGCGCCTGTAGTCCCAGCTACTCAGGAGGCTGAGGCAGGAGAATGGCATGAACCCGGAAGGCGGAGCTTGCAGTGAGCCAAGATCACGCCACTGCACTCCAGCCTGGGCGACAGAGCAAGACTCTGTCTCAAAAAAAAAAAAAAAAGAAACCCAGTGTCTACTGAAAATACAAAAAAATTAGCCGGGCATGGTTGGCGGGTGCCTGTAGTCCCACCTACTCGGGAGGCTGAGGCAGGAGAATGGTGTGAACCCAGGAGGCAGAGCTTGCAGTGAGCCGAGATTGCACCACTGCACTCCAGCCTGGGAGACAGAGCGAGACTCTGTTTCAAAAAAAAGAAAAAAAACTACACCAAGACACGCCACAACCAAATAACTTTAAAACACTGGTATAAAGAAAATCTCAAAAGTAGCAAGAGAGAAGACGTTATTTATTGACGAGCAAAGATAGGAACGATAGCAAGCTTCTTTTCAGAAACAATGTCCGCCAGAAGACTGTGAAGCAAATCTACAACTGGCAAAATATCTTCTAAAAACAAGGGCAAAATAATGACTTTTTCAGACATTCAGAAGCTGAATTTCTTACCAGCGGATGTGAACTACAAGAAATGTTCAAGGAAGCCCTTTGGGCAGGAGGAAAATGATACCTTTTGGGAAAGATGGAAATCTAGACCTACACAAAACAATGAAGATCTCCAGAAATGGTCAATATGTGGATAAATGTAAAATTCTCCTTTTTTTGTATTGTTTACATATCTTTAAAGTACATATCTTTTTTGCTTTTGAGACAAGGTCTCCCTGTCTCACTCAGGATGGTGTGCAGTGGTGCAATTAGGGCTCACTGCAGCTTCGGCCTCCCAGGCTCAAGTGATCCTCCTGCTTCAGCCTCCCAAGTAGCTGGGGACTGTAGGCACGTACCGTCACACCCAGCTAATTTTTCTATTTTTTTGTAGAAACAGGGTTTGTAGGCTGGTTTCAAACTCCTGAGCTCAAGCGATTTAACAGCCACCATGCCCAGACAACTTTTTTTTTTTTTTGAGACAGAGTCTCACTCTGTCACCCAGGCTGGACTGCAGTGGCACAATCTTGGCTCACTGCAACCTCTGCCTCCGGGGTTCAAGCAATTCTCCTGCCTCAGCCTCCTGAGTAGCTGGGATTACAGGCACTTGCCACCACGCCTGGCTAATTTTTGTATTTTCAGTAGAGACGGAGTTTCACCATGTTGGCCAGGCTTGAATTCCTCACCTCAAGTGATCTGCCCACCTCGGCCTCCCAAAGTGCTGGGATTACAAGCATGAGCCACCACGCCCAGCCTGTATGCTTTATTAAAAAAAACAAGACATGTGTGATTCAGTTTGGATAAATGAGAGTAACAGCATTTCTAAGCACAGTAATAATAGTAATAGCTGTTAATATTAATATTAATATTAGCCACACACACTCTTAAGTAATTTGCTTCTATCTTCAGCCCCATAAGGCCCAGAGAAGTTCAGTAACTTGTTCAAGATCACCAGAAAGTATGTTGGGAGCTGTATTTTCAACCTAGGCAGGTTGGCATTTTTGCAGTAGAATTAACTTGTATTGCTCATTTTCTTTCTTTTTTTTTTTTTTTTTTTGGACAAAGTCTCGCTTTATCACCCAGGATGGAGTGCAGTGGCATGATCTCGGCTCACTGCAACCTCCACCTCTCGGGTTCAAGCGATTCGCGATTCTCCTGCCTCAGCCTCCCGAGTAGCTGGGATTAGTAGAGAGGAGGTTTCACCATGTTGGCCAGGCTGGTCTGGAACTCCTGACCTCAGGTGATCAGCTAGCCTTGGCCCTCAAAGTGCTGGGATTACAAGGGTGAGCCACCGCGTCCGGCCTTATTTTGAGGGGGGGGGGGGCGGGGGGAGGGAAATAGGGACAGGGTCACATGCTGACACCCAGGCTGGAGCGCAGTGGTGCGATCATAGCTCACTGCAGCCTCAACCTCCCCAGCTCCAGCAATACTCTCACTCCAGCCCAGGAGTTACTGAACTCTAAAAAGAAATAAATATTTATTAAATGTTGACTCCACCAGCTCACTATTCTGCTACAAAGACCAACAGGTTTCCTAATTTTATTTTTTACTTTTTTTTTTTTTTTTTTTTGAGACGGAGTCTCACTCTGCCGCCCAGGCTGTAGTGCAGTGGCGCGATCTCAGCTCACTGCAACCTGTCTTCCAGATTCAAGAGATTCTCTGGCCTCAGCCACCCGAACAGATAGGATTACAGTCATCCACCATCATGCCCGGCTAATTTTTGTATTTTTAGTAGAGACGGGGTTTCACCATGTTGGTCAGGCTGGTCTGGAACTCCTGACCTCAGGTGGTCCGCCAGCCTTGGCCTCCCAAAGTGCTGGGATGATAGGCGTGGGCCATCGCGCCCGGCGAAGGGTTTCTTAATTTTAATATGCGGTTTTTACGTAGCAACATCCCAAAAGATCGATTAAAAGCCACCAAGAAAAATGATTCAGACAGTATCCCTCAAGAATATGTGTTTCGCAATAAAAGTTCAATCCTTTGACTCAAACGTAATTTGTACGTCTGTACACCAAGAAGCATTAGTACTGCTAATAAAACAAGCTACCCATAACTTGATACTATTCAGTTCACGATAACAAAGTTTTCCCTTGTGCATAGCCACCTAGTAAAAGCAGATCCCAAGTTTTCTCCAGCTTGCAAGAGACAACACAGATGAGGCATAGGAACTTGGCGAGTTACCTCAACGTTGTCTGTGAGACCGTACTCAGAGTGAGGATTTTCTGCAACCTAGAAAACAAAACACCGGTCACAGAGATATAAGTCCCCCCTTTCTCGCTGCCTCCCTGCACACCGCCACCCTGAATCCACGGCCTCCTGATACCTGCGTTTGTCCCTCCAGCATCTGCTCTGGCTCCATGGCGGACCCTGCAAGTCACAGTCCCCGGATACCAGTCTTGGAAAACAAGAAGAGCCGCGAGTTACCTGGGAGATTTCAACACGAAGACTCCAGGATGGAGTGCAGCCCAGCCCCCGACCCCGCCCCTCACCCCCACCTGGGCGCGGGAGCACCACGAGCAGTAGAGCAGCAGAGTGGGACAGTCCACGACTGGGCGCCTACATGGGGTCTGGAAACTCTACGACAGTCCCAAGTACCTAGAATAAGTGAGAAAGTGGGGGAAAGGGAGCTGATTACCCGCGCCCAAGCCGTTCGTTCTTAAGAGCCCTGCACCGCGCCACCAGCTCCCAGCACAAACAGCTCCGGCCGTAAGTGACGGCTGTCGCACGACTGCCGCGCCTGCGCAGAACCTCCCGGCGGACAAGAAGCTGGGAGGCGCGCAGAACCATCGTCAGTCCCCGAGGCTCTCTGCAGTCCGCGTGAGTCCTGGCCAAGGTCTGGCCTCGGAAGCTACGAGCTACAATCTTCCTTCATCCTACCCACCCACGAAGAGCGCCACCCCAGCTGCAGACCAAGTGACCAGCCCAGTTAGAAGGGGCTCGGCCGGATCAAACCTCGGTGCTGCCTCAAAGCATCTGCTGAAGCTCTTCCTCGACCAACTGAACTTCCTCACTGAGTGGTTCTTACTAGAAAATTATAAGCCCAGTCTGACAGTCTCTGAAAGAATGTCAGTGTTTTACTGTAAAGCCAAAGATGGGGGAAGAAGCAGTTTTGGGGGTTTCCTGATCAGCTTTTATTCAAGCCCTTAAATCTGTGAATATGCGATGTTAATGCCACCTTACATTTGTATTAGATTAGCAGTATGCAACTGGCTTTCCAAACCGTGGTCCTACTGATAGTAATGTAGTTGTAAAACGTACATAGGATAATTTGCCTCCTACACAGTGTGTAAATAGCAAACAACATCTCTTTACTTGGATTTTTTAAAATTCCAATAAATTCAATTTATTTTAATGTAAACAAAAGTGATAACACGCAAACTTCCTGCCTTTGACACAATTCTATTTGTAATTGCACTTTGTAATATGAAAACTTGAAAACATTTGGAGTAAATGATGGCATAACAATATGGTGGAATATAAGCGATTAAAATTAAAAATTGTGACTACATATACAGAAATATGGTGTACCATTGAGTTTTACTTCCAGCTGGCGTTAGACTACAACTTAATATTGCTACTCTAAAAAATCGTGGATACAGATCTAAAGTAAATAAAATTTGGTTAAGAGCTAGACATATAAGTAAGTTTTTAAAGTTTCGCAGTGTATACTTAAATAGTATTGTGATTGGTGACAGCTGTCATGTGGAACTTTGAAGATTTTTCATGTAATGCTGATTCAAACGTGTATGCCTATGTGCAGGATGTATAAATTGCCTAGTAGATATATTAAATTAAGATTAAATGCTTTTCAAGAGTGTGAAATAAAAAGGGCATACATACAAGTAGAGAATGATTGGGACTTTTTTTTTTTTTTTTTTGAGACAGAGTCTCGCTCTGTGGCCAGGCTGGAGTGCAGAGGCATGATCTCGGCTCACTACAACCTCCGATTCCCTGGTTCAAGCGATTCTCCTGCTTCAGCCTGCTCCTGAGTAGCTGGGATTACAGGCACGCACCACCACGCCTAGCTATTTTGTGTGTGTGGGCGTGTTTTGTTTTGTTTTTGTTTTTGTTTTGAGATGGAGTCTCACTCTGTCGCCAGGCTAGAGTGCAGTGACCCTCTTTTTTTTTTTTTTTTTGGCTCACTGCAACTTCCGCCTCCCAGGTTCAAGCGATTCTCCTGCCTCAGCCTCCCGAGTAGCTGGGACTATAGACGCGCGCTACCACACCCAGCTAATTTTTGTATTTTTAGTAGAGACAGGGTTTCACCATGTTGGCCAGGATGGTCTCGATCTCTTGACCTCGTGATCCGCCTGCCCCGGCCTTCCAAAGTGCTAGGATTACAGGCGTGAGCCACCGCTCCCAGCATATTTTTGTGTTTTTAATAGAGACAGGGTTTCACCATGTTGGTCAGGCTGGTCTCAAACTCCTGACCTCGTGATCCGCCCACCTCAGCCTCCCAAAGTGCTGAGATAACAGGCATGAGCCACTGCGCCCAGCCCTTAATTTACATTTTCTAAGTACTGACAGTTTTGGTAAAGTAGTAAACTAGAAGAGCTCCTTCAGGGCAGGGGACCATGTCTTAGATATCTTTATACTTCACAACATGCTAAATACATTGTAGGTGCAGAATACATATTAAGTTGGGCTGGTTCATAGTCAAAATTTGATATTAATATATGCACTGATACTTCGAAAGCAAAAAGAGAAAAGACATAAAAATGTTTACTGAAGGCAGCAGCACAGAATAATCAGCTATCATCCAGGTTTCCATCCATCCAGGTAAGAGATACTGATGTGATTTACCAAAAAGCTTCACTGAAGTTTTCGCATTTAAAACTCACTAATTGATAGCGGGTCGTGATGCACATGCCTGTAGTTCCAGCTACTTGGAAGCTGAGGCAGGAGGATTGCTTGAGCCTGGGAGGTGGAGGCTGCAGTAAGCTGTGATGACAGACCAAGACCCTGTCTCAGAAAAAGAAAGAGAGCTGGGTGTGATGGCTTACGCCTGTAATCCTAGTACTTTGGGAGGCCAAGGCCAGGAGATCACAACGAACCTGACCAACACAGCAAGATCCCCGTCTGCAATTTTTTTTAATGATTAAAGAAATTATTTTTTAAAGGAAGAAATAGGAAGTATAAAATTAATTGAAGATACTGCAGAATGCTGAGTTTTAATGTGAAATTAATTATTCTAAAGATGACTTGGAAACATGATTGTAACAGAAATTTGCAGTAATGTGTACTGTCTGGAGAGGGGTAAATTAAAAGAATGAGAAGACAGCCTGGGCAACATTGTAAGAACTCGTCTCTACAAAAAAATTAAAAATTGGCTGAGTGTGGTGATGCATACCTGTAGTCCCAGCTACTCAGAGGCAAAGATTGGAGGATCACATGAGCCCAGGGAGGTTGAGACGTAAACTATAACCACACCACTGCACTCCAGCCTAGGCGACGGAGCAAGACCCTGTCTCAGAAGAAAATAGAAAGAAAATGAGAAGAACATTTAACTCTTATTTGGACTTCCACCAAATTTTGTTCAGGACTTCTTTCATCAGCTTCTTACACAGCCATTTATAGTACTTAGCTCATTCTGCTTTATATTTTGCTTATGTGTAAACACAATTAGATTTTGAGTTGTTTAAAGGCAAAGACTTTATTCTTTTTTTTTTTTTTTTTTTTGAGACGGGGTTTCACTCTGTCATCCAGGCTGGAGTGCAGTGGCGCGATCTCAGCTCGCTGCAAGCTCTGCCTCCTAGGTTCATGCCATTCTCCTGCCTCAGCCTCCCGAGTAGCTGGGACTACAGGCACCTGCCACCACTCCCGGGTAATTTTTTTGTATTTTTAGTAGAGATGGGGTTTCACTGTGTTAGCCAGGATGGTCTTGATCTCCTGACCTCGTGATCTGCCCACCTCGGCCTCCCAAAGTGCTGGGATTACAGGCTTGAGCCACCGCGTCCGGCTATTCTTTATTTTTTTAATGATTCAAGGATTTATTAAGTCATACATACAAAACATACTGCTAATTGCATTACCAAAAGATTAATATAAAAACACTCCACAATTCTGCAACTGTCCATTTAAAACATGTTGTTCCTGACTGGGCGCGGTGGCTCATGCTTATAAGGCACTTGGGAGGCAGAGGCTAACGGATCACCTGAGGTCAGGAGTTAGAGACCAGCCTGGCCAATATGGTGAAACCTTGTCTCTACTAAAAATACAAAAAATTAGCTGGGTGTGGTGGCTTACACCCATAATCTCAGCCACTCCAGAGGCTGAGGCAGGAGAATCCCATGAGCCCGGGAGGCGGAGGTTGCGGTGAGCCGAGATCATGCCACTGCACTTCAGCCTGGGCGACAGAGCAAGACTCTGTCTCAAAAAAAAAAATTGTTCTAAGTGGTTGAAAGGTCCAATGTTGTATTTTTGCCAGTGAGTTAAGTTGTACAGAACAAGCCAGGCACAGTGGCTCCCACCTGCTAATCCCAGAACTAAATCGGGTAAATTGTTTGAGTCCAGGAGTTTGAGACCAATCTGGAAAACATGGTGAAAACCCATCTCTACAAAAAAATACAAAAATTAGCCCGGTGTGGACCTCTAGACCCAGCTACTCGGGACACTGAGGTGGGAGGATTGCATGAGCCCAGGAGGCGGGGGTTACAGTGAGCCAAGATTGCGCCATTGCACTCCAGCCTGGGCAACAGAGTGAGACCCTGTCTCAATAAAAAATATATATATATGTCGTACAGAAAATCATGAAGACTGCACAGTTTACAGAATCTTACAGACCCAAAGGGACATTGTTAGGCAAAACAACTACAGGAGGTGTGTATCCACGTGGGTGAGGTAAAGAGGGTCAATATTAGTCAAATGACAGTGTCCGTAATCCAGCAACAGAGTGATGTTAAGAAAGTTCATAGTTTAATAACAGTAACTAAAATATTTTGAGAACTGCAAAGCTGCAACACATCATTTTTACACCTAGTTACTACAGAACTCAGGAAAGTACTTACTAGCTTTGAATAAAGTAACACGGAAAGCACTTTTACTAAATTACAAAAAAAATTCTAACGCATTATCAGAAAGATTTTATAATACAAGGAGGCACATTGCTCAGTAAGAAAGGGCTCTATAAGAAAAGCAACGGCCAGGTGCGGTGTCTTACGCCTGTAATCCCAGCACTTTGGGAGGCCGAGGCGGGCAGATCACGAGGTCAGGAGATCAAGACCGTCCTGGCTAACAAAAAATTAGCCGGGCATGGTGGCGGGTGCCTGTAGTCCCAGCTACTCAGGAGGCTGAGGCAGGAGAATGGCGTGAACCCAGGAGGCGGAGGTTGCAGTGAGCCAAGATTGCGTCACTGCACTCCAGCCTGGCGACAGAGTGAGACTGTCAAAAAAAAAATCACTATGAAATCAAAAAGACTCATCAAAAGAACTGAAATGTTACACCCAATCTATTGTGATATACAGTACCATGTTATGTCATGAACATGTGCTGATGAATTACTAGTGCTTTAAATGGCAATGTTTCATTAACCAGGCTGTTCTGCTTTACATATCTGAAAATTAGTTACAAAGTATCTCTATCTCCTGGCCCGGTGCAGTGGCTCAGGCCTGTAATCCTAGCATTTTGGGAGGCTGAGGCGGGTGGCCCACCAGAGGTCAGGAGTTCGAGACCAGCCTGGCCAACACAGCAAAACCCTGTCTCTACCAAAAATACAAAAATTAGATGGCCAAGGTGGCGTTCGCCTGTAATCCCAGCTACTCGGGAGACTTAGGCAGGAGAATCACTTGAACCTGGGAGGCAGAGGTTGCAGTGAGCCAAGATCATGCCACTGCACTCGAGCCTGGGGGACAGAGGGAGACTCCGTCTTAAATAAATAAATAATAAAACCTGGTTCCTTGTTTGCCATGTGGGATTAGGCAAATCTTTTAACTCCTCTGAGCTTCAGGGTTTTTGTTGTTGTTGTTGTTTGTTTTTGAAACGGAGTCTCACTCAGTCACCCAGGCTGGAGTGCAGTGGCGTGATCTCGGCTCACTGCAATCTCCACCTCCCGGGTTCAAGCAATTCTCCTGTCTCAGCTTCCCAAGTAGCTGGGACTACAGGCACACACCACTGCAACCGGCTTATTTTTGTATTTTTAGTAGAGACAGGGTTCCACCATATTAATCAGGCTAATCTCAAACTCCTGACCTCAGGTGATCCACCTGCCTCGGCCTCCCAAAGTGCTGGCATTAAAGACATGAGCCACTGTGCCCAGCCAAGCTTCAGGGTTTTTTTGCATGTAAAATTGGGATAATTTTTACTTCATAAGGAGGATCAAATGAAATAAGATAGAGGAAACTGAGCCAAGCACAGTGGCTCACGCCTGTAATCCCAGCACTTTGGGAGGCCGAGGCAGGTGGATTGCTCGACTTCAGGAGTTCAAGACCAGCCTGGGCAACATGGGAAAAACCCATCTCTACTAAAAATATGAAAAATTGGGCGGACATAGTAGTGCACGATTGTAGTCCCAGCTACTCAGGGGCGGAAGCGAGAGGATCGCTTGGAAGAGTCTAGGCTGTCCTGATCACACCACTGTACTCTAGCCTGGGCAACACAGCAAGACCCTGTCTTGAAAAAAAAAAAAAAGATGAAACTGCTTTGTAAACTGAAGTTACACAAATGTAATTGAAATTCATTTTGTCTTATCTACATTACTTATCAAGCCACTTCATTAGCTTTTTAATTTTATTCATTTATTTATTTATTTTTGAGACAGGATCTCACTCTGTTGCCCAAGCTGGAATACAGTTTTGCAAACTTGGCTCACTGCAACCTTCACCTTCCAGGTTCAATCGATTCTCCTTCCTCAGCCTCTCAAGTAGCTGGGACTACAGGCGCATGCCACCACACCCAGCTGATTTTTGTATTTTTAGTAGAGAGGGGGTTTTCCCATGTTGGCCGGACTGATCTCAAACTCCTGGCCTCAAGCGATTTACCCACCTCGGCCTCCCAAAGTGCTGGGATTACAGCACTTTGTAAGCCACCATGCCCGGCCCTTCATTAGCTTTTTACTTTGTTGTTTTAAAATAATTTGCAGGAAAGAAATTATTCAGAAAAATTAAGAACTTGATCCAGCACCCACCCACACCCACCTACCCCACCCCACCCCCCAACACTCACATACAAAAATGTATTTGCAAATAAATACATAGAATTTACTGAGTGTAAATGGGCCCTCTGAGTACAATGTGTGGGGAGGGACACCCAACCACCTCTCAAGAAGACCTAGAAATATATGTTCCAGGTTAGGTAAGTCACTTTCCAGAGAAATAAGAGAAATATCTCTTTGTGGCTAATATTGGAAGGCAACCACTCTACCTGTAGCTCCCTTGTCTCTACTACCAAACAACATGCCCAAGCAATCTTACCACCCATCTCAGAAATTTTGGTATATATGGCCGGGCGCGGTGGCTCATGCCTGTAATCCCAGCACTCTGGGAGGCGGAGGTGGGCGGATCACGAGATCAGGAGATCAAGACCATCTTGGCTAACATGGTGAAACCCGTTTCTATTAAAAATACAAAAAAAAAGTAGCCACGCGTGGTGGCGGGCACCTGTAGTCCCAGCTACTCAGGAGGCTGAGGCAGGAGAATGGCGTGAACCTGGGAGGCAGAGCTTGCAGTGAGTGAGATGGTGCCACTGCACTCCAGCCTGGGTGACAGAGCAAGACTCCATCTCAAAAAAATTAAATAAATAAATTTTGGTATATCAAGGAACATACCAAATGGGTTTTTGAAAGGCATGAATATAGTGTGTTCCTTTGATTTTTATGATACACAAGTGATCTCAACGATAAGAATAATAAAACTGGACGCGGTGGCTCACACCTGTAATCCCATCTCTCTGGGAGGCCGAGGTGGGTGGATCACTTGAGGTCAGGAGTTCCAGACCAGCGTGGCCAACATGGTGAAACCCTGTCTCTACTAAAAATACAAAAAAAAAATTGGCTGGGTGTGGCTGCACACACCTGTAATACCAGTTGCTAAGGAGGCTGAGGCAGGAGAATGACTTGAACCCGGGAGGTGGAGGTTGCAGTGAGCCGAGATTGCGCCACTGCATTCCAGTCTGGGCAACAGAGCAAGACTACATCTCAAGGAAAAAAAAAAAAAGAGAGAGGATAATAAGAATTAATGAAAAGGCAACCTTACTGACATTTCAAATCCTTAAATTGCCAATTGTTTCTGCCACTTCTTGTATGAGGCTATATTTAGATTTTTTCCTAAAACGTCCTAATTTTCAGTCTTAATTTTTTAAATGTTTTTTCTATCTTTTTAGAGATGGGTTCTCCATACGATGTCCAGGCTGCAGTGCAATGACTATTCACAGGAGCAATCTTAGAACACTGCAACCTCCAACTCCTGGCCTCAAGATATTCTCCTGCCTCAGTTTCCCAAATAGCTGGGACTATAGGTGCATGCCACAGTGGCGGTGATTTTCAGTTTTTAAATGTGTTGATTTTATGCTTTCCTTTTCAATCCAAATTATTATCACTTAAATTAATGTTCATAAATAGGTCATGGGTTATTAAGTGATAGGCAAAATACATAACTTTGATATCTCTTAATTTTAGGTTGCCCAAAGCCATTCCATATTAATTTAAATTGAAACCATTTCCCTTTTAAAAGACAAAGTCAGAGGCCAGGAACAGTGGTTCATGCCTCTGTAACCCTAGCACTTTGGGAGGCCAAGGTGGGAGAATTGCTTAAGCCCAATAGTTAGAGACCAGCCTGAGCACTATAGTGAGATCCCATGTCTTTAAAAAAAAAAAAAAAAAAAAAGACAAAGTCAGACAGTAAAATGGAGATTAATAGTGATGCCACCTGACCGGGCATGGTGGCTCATGCCTGTAATCCCAGCACTTTGGGAGGCTGAGGTGGGCGGATCACTGGAGGTCAGCAGTTCGAGAGGAGCCTGGCCAACATGGTGAAACCCCGTCTCTACTTAAGCTACAAAAATTAGTTGGGCGTGGTGGCACACGCCTGTAATCCCAGCTACTCGGGAGGCTGAGGCAGGAGAATCGCTAGAACCCAGGAGGTAGAGGTTGCAGTGAGCCAAGATTGCACCACTGCACTCTAGCCTGGGCAACAGAGCAAAAACTCTATCTCAAAAAAATTTTTTTTAATGTTCTGCCATCCAATGTTAACACAAGACTGTTGTTTAAAATGTGCTCCCCTATAAGACTGAGTCCAGTGGCTCCTGCCTGTAATCCCAGCACTTTGAGAGGCCGAGGTGGGCAGGTCGCTTGAGGCCAGGAGCTCAAGACCAGCCTGGGCAACATGGCCCAGGAGTCGGAGACCAGCACGGGCCACAAAATGAGACTCCTTCTATACAAAAAATATAAAAAGTTATCTGGGCATGCTGGCACGGTCCTGTAGTGCTAGCTACTCGGGAGGCTGAGGTGGGAGGGTCACTTGAGCCCTGGGAGGTCAAGCCTGCAGTGAGCTGTCCTCACGCCACTGCACTCCAACCCGGGTGACAGAGTGAGACCCTGTCTCAAAAAAAAAAAAAAAAATGCCGGGCATTGTGGCTCATGCTGTAATCCTAGCACTTTGGGAGGCCGAGGCGGGCAGATCACATGAGGTCAGGAGTCTTGAGACCAGCCTGGTCAACATGGTGAAACCCCGTCTCTACTAAAAATACAAAAATTAGCCGACCATGGTGGCATGAGCCTGTAGTCTTTGCTACTCGGGAGGCTGAGGCAGGAGAATCGCTTGAGCCCAGGAGCCGAGATCGCACCACTGCACGCCAGCCTGGGTGACAAGGCAAGACTCTCAAAAAATAAATAAACAAATAAAAATAAAATAAAAATAAATAAATACTTGATATTTATAATATCTATAATATATCTTGATATCTATAATATCTCAATTGCCCAGATTTGATCATTACACAGTGTACGCAAGTAAAGTATCAAAATATCACATATACCCCTCAGATATGTACAATATTATATATCAGTCAACAAATGGGATGAACTAAAATGAAATTTATTATTATTATTTTTAGAGATGGAGGAGTCTCGCTCTGTTGCCCAGGCTGGAGTGCAGTGGCGCCATCTTGGCTAACTGCAACTTCCACTTCCCGGGTTCAAGCAATTCTCCTGCCTCAACCTCCCGAGTAGCTGGGACTACAGGCGCACGCCACCACGCCCGGCTAATTTTGTATTTTAGTAGAGACGGGGTTTTCACCATGTTGCCCAGGCTGGTCTTGAACTCCTGAGCTCGGGCAATCCGCCTGCCTCAGCCTCCCAAAGTGCTGGGATTACAGGCATGAGCCACCACACCCAGCCTATTATTTTTACTCGTTCTTCACAATCTGTTCCCAGAAATTTTCACTTTGACACAATAATTCTACTTCTAGAATTTTATCCTATGCAAATATGCAAAGATATAAATATATTTATTATACCTTTGCGAATATGCAAAGATATAAATATATTTATTATACCTTTGCGAATATGCAAAGATATAAATACATTTGTTATACCATAGTTTTTATTTATATTTATGTATTTATTTATTTGAGAGGGAGTCTCGCTTTGTCGCTCAGGCTGGAGTGTAGTGGCACGATCTATGCCCATTGCAACCTCCATCTTCCAGGTTCAAGCAATTCTCTCGCCTCAGCCTCCCAAGTAGCTGGGATTACAGGTGCATTCCACTACACCAGGCTAATTCTGTATTTTTAGTGGAGACGGAGTTTCTCCATGTTGGTCAGGCTGGTCAGAAACTCCCGACCTCAGGTGATCCGTCCGCCTCTGCCTCCCAAAGTGCTGGGATTACAGGCGTAAGCCACCGAGCCCAGCCAAATAGGTAGAGTTTTTAATTATAAGTAACACATAAATCAATGAGAAGAATATTTATGTGAGTAATGGATCTAATTCATTGTATAATAGTATTAAAAAAATATCTGGGCCGGGCGCGGTGGCTCATGCCTGTAATCCCAGCACTTTGGGAGGCCAAGGCAGGCACATCAAGAGGTCAGGAAATCGAGACCGTCCTGGCTAACACGGTGAAACCCCGTCTCTACTAAAAATACAAAAAATTAGGTGGGCGTGGTGGGGGGCGCCTGTAGTCCCAGCTACTGCGGAGGCTGAGGCAGGAGAATGCCGTGAAGCCGGGAAGCGGAGCTTGCAGTGAGCCGAGATAGCGCCGCTGCACTCCAGCCTGAGCGACAGGGCAAGGCTCCGTCTCAAAAAAAAAAAAAAAAAAAAAAAAAAAATCTGTGCCGGGCGCGGTGGCTCATGCCTGTAATCCCAGCACTTTGGGAGGCTGAGGTGGGCAGATCACGAGGTCAGGAGTTCGAGACCTGCCTGACTAACATGGTGAACCCCCTTCCCCGACCACCCTCCCCCTGCCCCCGCTCTACTGAAAATACAAAAAATTAGCTGGGTGTGGTGGCCGGCGCCTGTAATCCCAGCTACTCGTGAGGCTGAGGCAGGATAATCGCTTGAACCCGGAAGGCGGAGGTTGCAGTGAGCCAAGATCGCACCACTGCACTCCAGCCTGGGCAACACAGTGAGACTCCGTCTCAAAAAAAAAAAAAAAAAATCTGAGTTCAGCCTTTCTTCTTTCACTAAAGCATTTAGTAAGCATCTATTATTTGTTGAGATCTCATGGAGAGTGTGCAGAGAAGAGTTAACACAGCAAGTCTAAGACTGCTATCCTTGGAAAGGCCTGCTTGCAAAATTGGACCTTGGCTGCTAGTGTCTGAGAACTTTTTTTTTTTTTTTTGAGATGGAGTCTTGCTCTGTTGCCCAGGCTGGAGTGCAATGGCGCAATCGCAGCTCACTGCAAGCTCCCCCTCCTGGGTTCACGCCATTCTCCTGCCTCAGCCTCACGAGTAGCCGGGACTACAGGCGCCCGCCACCACGCCCAGCTATTTTTTTTTTTTTTTTTTTTTTTTTTTTTGTATTTTTAGTAGAGACGGGGTTTCACCGTGTTAGCCAGGATGGTCTTAATCTCCTGACCTCATGACCCACCTGCCTCAGCCTCCCAAAGTGCTGGGATTACAGGCATGAGCCACCGCGCCCGGCCTGAGAACTTAAATAATAGTTTCCCAGCACTTTGGGAGGCTGAGGCGGGTGGATCATGAGGTCAGGAGTTCAAGACCAGCCTGGCCAAGATGGTGAAACCCCATCTGTACTAAAAATACAAAAAAATTAGCCGGGCGTGGTGGCAGGCTCCTGTAACCCCAGCCACTCAGGAGGCTGAGGCAGGAGAATGGCTTGAACCCGGAAGGTGGAAATTGCAGTGAGTCAAGATCGTGCCACTGCACTCCAGCTGGGGTGACAGAGTGAGACTCATCTCAAAAATAATAATAACAGTAATAGTTTCCTACAGTGATAGAAAACTTTTCCTCCTTTTATTTATTTATTTATTTATTTATTTTTTGAGACAGTGTCTAACTCCTTTGCCCAGGTTGGAGTGAACTGGCATGATCTAGGCTCACTGCAGCCTCCACCTCCTGGGCTCAATCGATCCTCCCACCTCAGCCTCTCCAGCACCTGGGACTACACGCATGCCCCACAACACCTGGCTAATTTTTCTATCTTTTGTAGAGATGTGGTTTTACCATGTTGCCCAGGCTGGTCTCAAACTCCTGGAATCAAGCGATCCACCCACCTCAGCCTCTCAAAATTCTGGGATTACAGGTATAAGCCAAGGCGCCCGGCCAAAACTTTTCCTGAATAAGAGTAGCTCACTGTACCTAAGCTGTACAAACAATATGGTGTATGTTAAGCACCCACCTTCCTTCTAGGAGTCTGGAATTTTGATAGGTGTTAGGCAGAGGGTGCCGATATGACTAGTCCCAACAAAAAGCCCAAGCACTGAGTTTCTGATGAGTGTTTCTGGTAGACCGCATTTTACCCACGTCCTCTGAACCTGTTGCTGGAGGAATTAAGCATATCCTTTGTTGACACTACTGGGAGGACTCTTGGAACCTTGTTTGCACCTGGTTTCCTCCAGACTTTGTCCCATGCACCTTTCCTTTTGCTGATTTTGCTTTTCAGGAGTTTGAGGCCAGCCTGACCAACATGCTGAAACCCTGTCTCTACTGAAAATACAAAAATTAGCCGGGCATGGTGATGCGGGCCTGTAGTTCCAGCTACTTGGGAGGCTAAGGCAGGAGGATGGCTTGAACCTGGGAGGCGGACGTTGCAGTGAGCCAAGATCGCGCCGTTACACTCCAGCCTGGGTGACAGAGCGAAGCTCTGTTTCAAAAAATAAATAAATACATTGAGTCCTGTGAGTACTCCTAGTGAAGTGAATCACCTAAGTGGAGGTGATGTTGAGGATCTTAAACAGTTGGGAAGTTTAGAGTAAATATAAATTGCAGTCCCTGCCCTCATAAACTTGTATTCTAGGTCAGCTACATCAGACATATACATGTGATACATTTAAATAACAATACAAGATAGTAAGTGATTAAAGGTTAAGATGAATGACCCTAAAGTCTGAAGAAGTTCAGGCTGAGCATAGTGGCTCACACCCGTAATCTCAGCATTTTGGGAGGCTGAGGCAGGAGGATCACTTGAACTTAGGAGCTCTAGACCAGCCTCAGTAACGTCATGAGACCTCATCTCTACCAAAAAAAAAAAAAAAAAAAAAGGTAGCCAGGCGTGGTGGTGAGTGCCTGTAGCCCCAGCTACTCAGGAGGCTGAGGTGACAGGATCACTTGAACCCGGGAGGTAGACGCTGCAGTGAGTTGTGATTGTGCTACTGCGCTCCAGCCTGGATGACAGAGTGAGAGAGATCCTGTCTAAATTTTTTTTTTTTTTTTGAGAGACAGTCTCGCTCTGTCGCCAGGCTGGAGTACAGTGGCACGATCTCGGCTCACTGCAACCTCTGCCTCCTGGGTTCAAGCCATTCTTCTGCCTCAGCCTCCCAAGTAGTAGGTATCTTTTGAACAGTATTGAACCAACAATAAATTTTTAAGCAAAGCCTCAAAGGAAAAATCCTGTATGGGAGGGCTGGGGAACATGATACAAATGGAAACATTAATGAAGAGAGTAAGTGGAGAAACGGGTATCTGACAAGACAGAGGGTCTCAGAATAAGAGTCTTTCCCAAAACACTGCAGTTGCTAGCAACTACCTTTGAAAACAGACAACTCCTTTTATGTGTCCCAGCATTTACCTGGTGCTAACATTTACTCTGCTTTTCATGCGTGCTGGAGTCCAGTATAGATTTTTTTTTTTTTTTTTGGAGATGGAGTTTCACGTTTGTTGCCCAGGCTGGAGTGCAATGGCACAACCCCGGCTCACCGCAACCTCCGCCTCCCGGGTTCAAGTGATTCTCCTGCCTCAGCCTCCCGAGTAGCTGGGATTACAGGCATGCGCCACCATGCCCGGCTAATTTTGTATTTTTAGTAGAGATGGGGTTTCTCCATGTTGGTCAGGCTGGTCTCCAACTCTCGACCTCAGGTGATCCACCCACCTCGGCCTCCCAAAGTGCTGAGATTACAGGTGTGAGCCACCTCGCCCGGCCCACTATAGATTTTCATGCGTCCTGGAGTCCACTATAAATATAGATATATAAGATTATATTTATATACCTAAATATTTTATTTAGAAGGCCAACTGAATACACCCTCTGGTAATCTAGATTGCCATTCTAGGGTATTCATTTAAAGTTTCATACTAACTGACTCTGCTGTGTTTCCTTGGCATTATAGCTAATCAAATTGAGCAGGTCAGGTAACAGTTTATACTTACACCTACTATTTCAAAACCATGAGCTCATTCACATTTTCACTGAAGTAACAAATCCTCCATAAACTAGAAAATCTCAAACTGGTGACTGGGAGTTTTGGTTTTGTTTTTTTGTTGTTTTATTTTATTTTATTTTATTTTCTAGATGGAGTCTTGCTCTGTTGCCCAGGCTGGAATGCAATGGCATGATCTCAGCTCACTGCAACCTCCACCTTTCGGGTTCAAGCAATCCTCCTGCCTCAATCTTCCAAGTAGCTGGGACTACAGGAATGAGCTGCCGCACCTGGCCTGGTTTGTTTGTTTTTAAATTTTGAGGCCAGGTGCAGTGGCCCATATCTGTGATCCCAGCACTTTGGGAGACCAAGGCAGGCCGATTACTTGAGGTCAGGAGTTCAAGACCAGCCAGGCCAACATGGTAAAACCATGTCGCTACTAAAAACACAAAAATTAGGCCGGGCACGGTGGCTCACGTCTATAATCCCAGCACTTTGGGAGGCCAAGGTGAGTGGATCACCTGAGGTCAGGAGGTCAAGACCAGCCTGGCAAACATGGTGAAACCCCGTCTCTATTAAAAATACAAAAATTAGCCGGGTGTGGTGGCGGGCACCTGTAATCCCAGCTATTGGGGAGGCTGAGGCAGGAGAATCGCTTGAACCTGGGAGGTGGAGGTTGCAGTGAGTCGAGATGGTGCCACTGACCTCCAGCCTGGGCAATAAGAGCGAGACGCCATCTCAAAAATATATAAATAAATAAATAAAAATACAAAAAGTAGCTAGGCTTTGTGGCAGGCACCTGTAGTCCCAGCTACTTAGGAGGCTGAGGCAGGAGAATTGCTTGAACCCAGGAGGCGGAGGTTGCAGTGAGCCAAGATTGTGCCACTGCGTTCCAGCCTGGGTGACAGAGCAAGACTCCTTCTCAAAAATAAATAAATAAATAAATAAATAAATAAATAAATAAAATTTTGAGCTGGGCATGAAAGCTGAGGCAGGAGGATCCCTTGAGCCCAGCAGTTTGAGACCCCAGTGAGCTATAATTCTGACACTGCACTTCAGCCTGGCTGACAGAGGGAGACCGTGTATCTAAAAAGAATAAAATAACAATGATTTTTGAGCCAATAACTCTTAGCCAATAGATTTCACATAAAAATTTAGAATTCTGGTTTCTCTTGAAAAATTAAAAAAATCTGACAATGTTAAGCTTCACATTCCTGAAAGGCAAAAATCAGTGGAAGCTAGCTGGGTGCTGTGGCTCACGCCTATAAACCCAGTGCTTTGGGAGGCTAGGGTAAGTGGATTGGTTGAGTCCAGGAGTTTGAGATCAGCCTGGCCAACACAGTCAAACCCCATCTCTACAAAACATACAAAAATTAGCTGGGATATGGTGGTGTGCACTTGTGGTCCCAACTACTCAGGAGGCTGAGGCAGGAGGACCACTTGAGCCCTGGAGGTTGAGGGGGCAGTGAGCCATGATTGTGCCACTGCACTCCAGCCTGGACGACAGAGAGACATTGTCTCAAAAAGAAAAAAAAAAATCAGCTCAGTGGGAGCTGAGTAACAGCTGTCCTGTTCAATTACAGGATGCAACTCTTTAGCTTCTCATAGTTTCCATCATTCACATCATACATGCATTTTTGCATGCCACACAACCCACACATGGAACCCATATATGTTATATGCCTGACCACTGTTGCTATTGGAAGTTTTGGCCACTGCATTAAACTATAAACTCCATCTTATTAATCCTGACACCCCACTTATTGCCTGATATATTGTCCGTTTCTTAATATCTATTCATAGAACAAATGAATGAATAATATGTGCCACATTGTGGACTCAATTCAGGGAGATGACTAATCATTCACAATTATGTTTTTCCTTCTTAATACAGAGATTGGATAATAATTCCCCAATTGTTACTTCTCTCATCCCTCCCCTCCAACCATATCTTTTCATTTGTTTTTCTTATTTTAGGTTTTCTGCCTTTTTCAAAATCAGCCATTTCCTCACTGGACTCTACATGTGCCATTTTTTTTTTTTTTTTTTTACTAATTTTTTTAGTTGAAAAGAGGTCCTTAATATCTGTCATTGGTCCACACTTGAAATCTAGAATCTCTCGAATTGAAGGTCTGAAGAGTTCCTTAGAAGGCAAGTAGGGCCGAAATATCCAAAAAAAACTATTTGATGGTAGGCACTGTGGTAAATAAATATGGGTTAAAGTGATAAAGTGACCGAATGTCCTGGATTAGTTAGCACAGTACCTAGCTCCTTCTTTTTGTCCTTGTGAAACTGTCTCAGATTCCATTCAAGATTAAGTGTCCTGAAAGTTCTTACAAGCTGAAAACTGGGAGGCTCTCACACTGTAGGTAGAATGGCTAGCAGGGTTGGGATCTCATCTAGGCACATTGCAGAACCAGGGTAACACCAAGGCATTATTTTTTTTCTTTCTTTACTTTTCTTCTTTTTTTTTAGAGACAGGGTCTCATTATGTTACCCAGGCTGGATTCCAATTCCTGAGCTCAAGTGATCCTCCTGAGTAGCTGGGACTTCAGGTGTGCACCGCTGTGTCTGAAGGCACTGTTTTTTTTGTTTTTTTTGTTTTTTTTGACACAAATTTAGGAAGATGTTAATTCACAACAGTCTTGAGACTGAGATATAATTCCAAGGAGCAGAAGATGTGAGTTTAGAGCACTAAAAAATGAGATTCCAGTAGAGTCAGAAATCTGAAATGGCATTACAGATATAAGAGACAAAAACAAAATGTATTGAGCTCTGTCATGTTGCAGGCATCATGATGGAGGTTTTAGATGTACTCTTTCATTTTGTAATTTTTATAGAGGAATTAACTAGAATAGCAACCCCAGTCCCACTAACTCTAAATCCCATATTTTTACCATACAAAAAAAGAGCAAAAGTGCAGAAAAGCACAGTCAATATTAAGTACAACCAGATAGCAGAGACTCAGTAAATGGGAGGCCGGAGGCCCGAAACCCAACATAATGCCCATGAATGAAAGCCCATCACTTGCGCTTCAGGGGCTAACAATATACTTATTTCATAATTAAAATAGAAACAGACTATGTAAAAATATTATTCTTGAGATCCCAGATTTTTACCTTAAATTACTGAGGCAGTAAGTGTAATTAACTAATATGTGATGTTGGGCAAATAACAGACTCTTAGAGCCCCAAATTCTTTATTTTAAAAAACTGAGGCCAGATGAGGTGGCTTACACATGTAATCCCAGCACTGGGGATGCCAAAGCAGGCAGATCACTTGAGCTTGAGCTTAGGAGTTTGAGATCAGCCTGGGCAACACGGTTAAGACCTCATCTCTAAACAAAATACAAAAATTAGCCAAACATGGTGGTGTGCACCTGTGTTCCTGGCTACTCAGGAGGCTGAGGTGGAAGGATCGCTTGAGCCCGAGAGGTTGAGGGTGCAGTGAGCCATGATCTTGCCATTGCACTCTACACTCTAGTCTGGGTGACAGAGTGAGACTCTGTCTTGGGGGAAAACAAAAGAGATGATAATGCTTAACTGAAGTAGCAATATTTTAAAAAGGCACTAAAAGTTCATCTGCTTAGTTCAGAATATGGGTTCGATAAATATTAGCAAGTAGTAGTAGTCATCATCATCACTGTCACTGCTGTTCTCTCCTTAAACTTAAGCATGTTTTTTGTTTTTTTGAGACAGTGTCTCACTCTGTCACCCAAGCTGGAGTTCAGTGGTGTGATCTTGGCTCACTCCAACCTCTGCCTCCCAGGTTCAAGTGATTCTCCTGTCTCACCCTCCCAAGTAGCTGGGACCACAGACACGTACCACAACCACACCCAGCTAATTTTTCGTATTTTTGGTAGAGGTGGGGTTTCACCATGTTGGCCAGGCTGGTCTTGAACTCCTGACCTCAAGTGATCCACCTGTCTCGGCCTCCCAAAGTGCTGGGATTACAGGCGTTAGCCACAGCATCCAGCCTTAAGCATGTTAATTAAGTTTTTATAATTCAGCAAAATGGTTGGAAAATGCTGTCTTAAATGAGATGCTTAAGCTGCCGTCTGAACATGAGGTAGAAGGAAATTCTACACATAATCATTGTGCTAAATTACTTGCAAAGATGGCCACAACAATTCCTCCTATCCTCATATATATGCCCCTTTGCAATGTGACTTTGCTACTTCTCTATCAAGATGTGGAGCTTATTTTCCCATATATTGCACTAGAGTTGGCCTTCTGACTTGCTTTGACAATGGAATGTAGTACAAATGACACTGTGCAACTTTGGATTTTAGGTTTCGAGAGAACTTACACCTTCCACTCACACTCTCTTGGAAACCAGATGCAATGTAAAGAAGTCAGGGCTATCCTGCTAGAGACATATGTCCCAGCTAATAGCCACAATCAACCTCTGAACATATGAATGAGGCTAGCTAGGCCATACAGCCATTCGGTCAAGCCATCAGATGACTACATCCACAGGAATGATCCACAGGCAAGGCCATCAGAAGAACCATCCAGCTGAACTTACCCCAAATTGCTGAGTCACAAAGTTGTGTGTAAATAAATGTCTGCTATCTTAAGCCAGTGAGTTTTGGAGTGGTATATTACATAGCATCAGAAATCTAACACAATCATTATGTTTGAATCATTTTTCAAATTTCTCATATTTATTAAATGAGTACCATAAGCAAGGTGTCAGGCTGGATGCAAAAAGTGAGGCAAAATGTATAAAGTGTGACCACTGCCTTCAGTAAGTTTACAATCTATATCAAGAGGTGATGAAGTGTTTAAATAATCATCCTGCAGGGCAATATAGTATAAGAGCCACAGAGTAACACAACCATATTGTCATAACAACTGAAAAACAAGATCATTTCTGCTGGAGGTGATAATGGAATAATTTATCAAGAATATAACAGAGCTGGACGCGGTGGCTCACACCTGTAATCCCAGCACTTTGGGAGGCCAAGGAAGGTGGATCACAAGGTCAGGAGTTCGAGACCATCCTGGCTAACACGATGAACCCGTCTCTACTAAAAATACAAGAAATTAGCCGGGCGTGGTGGCACGCGTCTGTAGTCGCAGCTACTCAGGAGGCTGAGGCAGGAGAACCACTTGAACATGGGAAGCAGAGGTTGCATTGAGCTGAGATCGTGCCATGGCACTCCAGCCTGGGTGACAGAGTGAGACTCAGTCTCAAAAAAAAAAAAAAAAAAAAAAATATAACATTAGAGGTAAGTCTTGAAGGACTTTGACAGTGGAAGTAGGAGGCGAGGCCATTCTAAGTGAATGAAAAATGACAGGAGAGTAATTGTAGTCCTGGAAAAGAGCAAAGTAGGTACAGACCAACAGTCTATATTAGCTAGAGTATAGTGAAAGTGCAGAGGAAATGTCGGAGAACCATTCTTTATTCAAAAACTATCTTCCTCATGGCCAAGCATAGTGGCTCATGCCTGTAATCCCAGCATTTTGGGAGGTCAAGGTGAGTGGATCACTTGAGCTCAGGAATTCAAGACCATCTGGGGCAACATAGTGAGACCTCATCTCAACTAAAAAACAAAAAATTCAGACAGATGCAGTGGCTCACACCTGTAATCCCAGAACTTTGGTAGGCTGAGGCGGGCGGATCACGAGGTCAGGAGATCAAGACCCTCCTGGACAACATGGAGAAACCCCATCTCTATTAAAAATACAAAATTAGCTGGGCATGGTGGCACATCCCTGTAATCCCAGCTACTCGGGAGGCTGAGGCAGGAGAATCGCTTGAACCAGGGAGTCGGAGGTTGCAGTGAGCCGAGATCGCACCACTGCACTCCAGTCTGGCGACAGAGCGAGACTCCATCTTAAAAAATAAATAAATTTTAAAAAAAACTACCCCAGCATGGTGGTGCATGCCTGTAGTCCCAGTTACTCAGGAGGCTGAGGCAAGAGGGTGGTTTGAGCCAGGGAGGTCAAGGCTGCAGTGAGCTCTGATGGCGCCACTGTACTCCAGCTTGGGTGACAGAGTGAGACCTTGTCTCAAAAACAAAAACAAAAACAAAAAACCAACAAATCTCCTTGTTAGTATCATGGTGAGTAAAAAATAAAATAAAAATAGAAATAAACTGAACATGGTGGCTCATGCCTGTAATCCTAGCACTTTGGAAGGCTGAAGTGGGAGGATTGCTTGAGGGCTGGAGTTCAAAACTGGCTTGGGCAACACGGTGAGAGAGACCTTGTCTCTACAAAAGAACTTTTAAAACAAAAAATAGATAATTTAAAAAAATTAAAAAAAACAAAAAATAAAAAAATAATCAAGTATCAACTTGATTCCAGGCACTGCTTACTACTCTAGTGTTATACTGTAGATGTGGAAGCTGAGTAACTCATCCAAGATCACCGAAAGTGATGGAACACAGATCTAAATGCAACCAGTCTGACTCCAGGACCATTTAACCATTCTACTATTGGGCCCTATCTTGGCTAAGTTAGAAAGTAAGTTACTTTCTTTAGTGGTAAAGACTGGAGGGATAACAGGGAAGATAGTTATTTAAGAAAAAAAACTGGCATCAAACTAAATATCCATCAATAGTTGAACAGTAAAATAGGTTGTGGTAAATTCATATAATGGAATACTATATAGCAGTGAAAATGTACCACAGTTATAGAAATCAACAGGGAGGAATTTCAACACTTAATTATTAAGTAGGTAGCCAGGCATAGCGGTTTATGCCTGTAATCCCAGCACTTTGGGAGACCAAGACAGGAGGATTACTTGAGCCCAGGGGTTCGAGATCAACCTGGGCAACAGTGAGACTCCATCTCTATTTTCTTAAAATAAAATAAATGAAATTTTAAAAATTTTGAGGAGGGAAAGCAAACAAGGGATACTTGAAATATGATTACATTTCCATAAAGTCAAAGTGAGGCAAAATCATACAAGACATTGTTTAGAAATACATAAATACACTGCAAACTAAAAATGAGACACTAGAATGATTAATATAAAATTCAGGATAGTGGCTTCCTCTAGAGGAAGAGACAAGACATTGAGATTAGGGAGGAGCTCACAGAGTGCTTCGAGGAGTTGGTTACATTCATTTTTCTTAAATGGAATGCTGCTTATTATTTTTCTTTAAATTGTGCATTTAAGTAACACACTTCTTGTTTATATGATATATGTATAAATGTAATTTTTTTTTTTGAGATGGAGTTTCGCTCTTGTTGCCCAGGCTGGAGTGCAATGGCACTATCTTGGCTCACTGCAACCTCCACTTCCTGGGTTCAAGTGATTCTCCTGCCTCAGCCTCCCGAGTAGCTGGGATTACAGGCATGCGCCACCATGCCCGGCTAGTTTTGTATTTTTAATAGAGAAAGGGTTTCTCCATGTTGGTCAGGCTGGTCTCGAACTCCCGACCTCAGGTGATCCGCCTGCCTTGGCCTCCCAAAGTGTTGGGATTACAGGTGTGAGCCACCGTGCCAGGCCCTGAATCAGATTTAAAAGAGGGCATTTCATTAAAAAAAATTTTTTGTTGTTTGCTTTTGAGACAGAGTCTCGCTCTGTCGCCCAGGCTGCAGTGCATTGGCATGATCTTGGCTCACCGCGGCCTCAGCCTCCCAGGTTCAAGTGATTCTCCTGCCTCAGCCTCGCACTAGTTGAGATTACAGGAATGCACCACCACCACAGGAATGCACCTGTCTAACTTTTGTATTTTTAGTATAGAGGGAGTTTTGCCATGTTAGCCAGGCTGCTCTTGAACTCCTGACCTCCGGTGATCTGCTCGCCTCGGCTCCCAAAGTTCTGGGATTACAGGCGTGAGCCACCACACCCGGCCGAAAGAGGGCATTTCAGAATGAGGGTCTAGCATAAGCACAGAGAAGGGGGAGCAATAAGAGGGAAACAGGGAGTAGGTCATTTTTGCAATAGCCTGTGACATTTGTAGGGCAGTACTGGCGGGGAATAATTAAGTAAAATTGGCTGGTGCTGTGGCTCATGCCTGTAATCCCAGCACTTTGGGAGGCCGAGGCGGGCAGGTTGCTTGAGCCCAGGAATTCAAGACCAACCTGGGAAACATAGCAAGACCCTGTCTCAACAAAAAAGTAAAAAAATTAGCTGGGGGCGCGATGGGGTGGCTCATGCCTGTAATCCCAACACTTTGGAAGGCTGAGGCAGGCGGATTGCTTGAGCCCAGGAGTTGGAGACCAGCCTGGGCAACATGGTGAAACCCTGGCTCTATAAAGAATACAAAAATTAGTCGGGCCCAGTGGCGTGTGCCTGTGATCCCAGCTACTCGGGAGGCTGAGGTGGAAGGATCACCTGAGCCAGGGAGGTGGAGGTTGCAGTGAGTCATGTTGTTTGCGCCACTGCACTCCAGCCTGGGCAATGGAGTGAAACCCTGTCCAAAAAATAAAAAAATAAAGCTGTGGCAGAATGTGGAGATTCTTGGAAGCTGGAAGCTCTCATGGGGCATTTGGAAACCTCACATTGTAAATAACGGAGTCTTTTTATCAGTTTGGCTTCCTTAGTTTTAGGAAACAAGAAATAATTATGGCTAACTCAAGTAAAAAGAGAAAGAGAAGAGAAAAAAGACGTGGAGATAGAGAGAGAGGGAGAGAGAGGAAAAGACGAAAGGAAGGAAGGGGGAAAGGAGAGAGGAAGAGAGAAACAGAGAAACAGACTGATTAGTGTATTGGATAGATTACATAACCAAGTGACCAGTCAGGAACCCAGCAGCTCTGGGGGAGCTCAATGTGATGCATTGATAAACCCGCTCTTAAGAGCACTCGTTTCCAGTTACTTTCTATTCGGTGGGTCTCCAGCCAAGATTCCAGGTCCCAGGAGAATCTGACTGACCTAGTGTTTGCTTCCGCCTTTGCGGTCTGGGTTCTGTGCTTGCAGCTCATTAGAATACAGGGAGCAGAGACAAGCAGGTAGTTTCCCAAAGGAAGGGATGCTGAGTAGATTAAAAAAAAAGTGTAGATTCTTCAGTAAACTATGGGATGGTAACTATGCAAAACCTAAGATTTCCCTTATTCAAATAAATTATCTTTCATATTAGACATCTAAATATGCACTAATTTAGTTAAACCCCTGGGTTAGTTGATCTCATCACACTGAGCTAACATTTTTGTTGCTGTTGTTTGCAGTGACCTGAAGTTTCTTATCTTCACAATTGCTTTCCTCTCAAATAATTCCCAGATTTTAAATTTTTATTTTATTTTTTCTGGAGACGGAGTCTCGCTCTGTCGCCCAGGCTGGAGTGCAGTGGCGCGATCTCAGCTCACTTGCAGCCTCTGCCTCCCGAGTTCAAGCGATTCTCCGGCCTTAGCCTTCCAACCAGCTGGGACTACAGGCGCGCGCCCCCACGCCCGGCTAATTTAATTCCCAGATTGATATCCATTGCTTCTGAGATGGGCCAATTATCCTTCGGAGAAGACTTAGGTCGCCTGGCAGAAAAAGATGAAAGAAATCTAAGAAAACGACGACACTGAGAGAGGAGCCTAGCGAACCAGCAGAGCGACCCCAAGCCGCAATTCCCCCTTCCGTGGATCGATTACGAAGGCTTCCTGGCAGGAGCTCTCCAGGGCTGCCGACGTGAGCCGAACTGCACATTGGGAACTGTAGTTGAGTGGGAAAGCCGAGAGGCGGGGGCCGCACACGCGTACAGGGGCCCCGGTCAACAAAGACGCGCCGTGCGCGCGCGCGCCGGAGAAAAACACGGGAAGACGTGCGCGTGCGCGGCCGCCGCTGGGAGCCACCAGGCGGCGGAGAGGACAGCGACAGGAAGGGAGGGGCCCGAGCCACCGACTGCAGGAGGAGAAGGGGTTGTGCTCCTGGCCGAGGAAGGAGAAAGGGGCGGGGCCGGCGGGCAGCGTGCGGCAGTGCGGAGCTCCTGAGACCGGCGGGCACACGGGGGTCTGTGGCCCCCGCCGTAGCAGTGGCTGCCGCCGTCGCTTGGTTCCCGTCGGTCTGCGGGAGGCGGGTTATGGCGGCGGCGGCAGTGAGAGCTGTGAATGAATTCTCCGGGTGGACGAGGGAAGAAGAAAGGCTCCGGCGGCGCCAGCAACCCGGTGCCTCCCAGGCCTCCGCCCCCTTGCCTGGCCCCCGCCCCTCCCGCCGCCGGGCCGGCCCCTCCGCCCGAGTCGCCGCATAAGCGGAACCTGTACTATTTCTCCTACCCGCTGTTTGTAGGCTTCGCGCTGCTGCGTTTGGTCGCCTTCCACCTGGGGCTCCTCTTCGTGTGGCTCTGCCAGCGCTTCTCCCGCGCCCTCATGGCAGCCAAGAGGAGCTCCGGGGCCGCGCCAGCACCTGCCTCGGCCTCGGCCCCGGCGCCGGTGCCGGGCGGCGAGGCCGAGCGCGTCCGAGTCTTCCACAAACAGGCCTTCGAGTACATCTCCATTGCCCTGCGCATCGATGAGGATGAGAAAGGTAACTAGGGGGCTGGGGGAGGGGGCGGCGGCGCCGGGAAGAAGGCGGTGGGGTCGCCGGGGGAGGGCAACACCTGCGTCCCTTTTCTGCGGGAGGGGACGGTGCACCCCCGGAATTGATATGCCCCGGGAGACTGCTTTCCCGTAGGTCGGAGCCTCATCTTCTAGTATTCTTAAAACCTCTCCCCTTTCAGGGCACTGTAGCTGTCGACTTTGTTTCAGACACCAGCCTTCCCCCACACTTCTGCATGACCCAGGTCACTATGAGACACCCAGACGTGTTGATGACAGTGACATTTGTCCTAGAGTGACCACACTGATCCTTTCTAGCACTGTGAAGAGTGTGCAGCTTCCTCTGAACCAAGGTTTCCAAAAGGTTTTGATATTGAAGAAGCAGTGCCGCCTTACTGGCTTTTAATGAAAGCAGAGTATTGTAGTGTCAGAAAAAAAGAACAAATGGTGACAATTTTGAAAGAAATAGCTGCATATGACTGCAGTTGAATTTGCATCATTTTAATCAAGATAATCATTTTATCAGTACAACGATTCCTGAATACTTTTTCAATGAAGTTATATTTAGCATAAAACTTTTCCCCCTGTTGCTTTGATTTTAATTAAAACAGTATTCCAAAGTAGCCTTTAATTTCCAAGTTGAAATGTTTGATGAATGGATTGCGTAAACTTAAACATACCACTTTACAGTAAAACCTAAAACAACTATGTATGTTTCTGAATGAAAGCAAGGATACTACATCTTTCGGGTTTCTTTTAAGCTAACTTTTTTTTTTTTTTGAGACGGAATCTCGCCCTGTCGCCCAAGCTGGAGTGCAATGGTGCAGTCTCGGCTCACTGCAACCTCCGACTCCCTGGTTCCAGCGATTCTCCTGCCTCAGCCTCCCGAGTAGCTGGGATTACAGGCACGCACCACCACGCCTGGCTAATTTTTGTATTTTTAGTAGAGTAGGGATTTCACCATGTTGGCCAGGATGGTCTCCATCTCCTGACCTCGTGATCGGGTCGCCTCGGCCTCCCAAAGTGCTGGTAATACAGGCATGAGCCACCGCGCCTGGCCTTAAGCTAACATTTTTTATTATATGTGCCAGGCATTGTGCTATTAGCTTTGCATGTGTTATCTTTTTTCTTTTTAAAAAAAATAGCAACCATCCCAGACCATGAAAAGTGTTATTTAATCCTCACAATAACTTTGTGAGATGAAGGTATTATTGGTATCAGCATTTTAGAGATGAAGAAAATGAGGCCCAAAAGATAAAGGAGGTTATTCCAAACCTGTGCTAATAATGAAATTTCTTTTATGGAAAATAAGTGAAATTAGGAGAAGTCTAACTTTTACAATTCTCCCCTTTTATCCTTACTTCCAGTATGCTGAGATCTTGCTTCTCCCTCTGCCAAAAACACCCACTTTTCTACCACACCTCAATTAGATACTCACTTGCATTGTCCATTAGTGAAAACAGAAACAATCTGCACTTCATTCATAGTGTCTGTCTCTACTGCCAACTCCAAAAACTGTTCTAGAATTTCAATCTTGTTGAAACCTGTTTCCTTTGTGGGGCCTGGGAGTGGGAAGTGGGATATAAGGAAAGAGGCAGTTATTCATTGTTTTGGACAGTAAGGAAAGAGTGACGGTTAAGAGAGGTCAAGGAGGGTGTTAACATTTAAGAATACTATGTGTTTGTAGAAGGAAATTTTTTGTTAACTGCTCCATTCTTTTTTTTTTTTTTTTTTGAGATGGAGTCTCCCTGTGTCACCCAGACTGGAGTGCAGTGGCGTGATCTCAGCTTACTGCAACCTCTGCCTCCCAGACGCAGGCGATTCTCTTGCCTCAGTCTCCCGAGTAGCTGGAACCACAGGTGCGCCCTATCACGGCTGGCTAATTTTTTGTATTTTTAGTAGAGATGGTGTTTCACCATGTTGGCCAGACTGGTCACGAACTCCTGACCTCAGGTGATTCGCCTGCCTCGACCTTCCAAGTGCTTGGATTACAGGTGTCAGCCACTGTGCCCACCCAGCAAGCTCCATTCTTTATCACCTCTTAAGAACATCCAGGATCCCTTGGGGAGAATTAAAACGGTTGCAAAGTTTTAGAATAGAGGAACATGTTTAAGCGTAGATCATTTTTTGGGCCAGTCATGGTGGCTCACGCGTGTAATCCCAACACTTTGGGAGGCCGGGGCGGGTGGATCATGAGGTCAAGAGTTTGAGACCATCCTGGCCAACATGGTGAAATCCCATCTCTACTAAAAATACAAAAATTAGCTGGGCATGGTGACACATGCCTGTAGTCCCAGCTACTCAGGAGGCTGAGGCAAGAGAAGTGCTTGAACCTGGAAGGTGGAGGTTGCAGTGAGCCGAGATCGTGCCACTACACTCCAGCCTGGGCGGCAGAGCAAGACTCCGTCTTGAAAAAAAAAAGTAGGTCATTTTTGGCTGGGCACGGTGGCTCATGCCTGTAATTCCAGCACTTTGGGAGGCTGAGGTGGGTGGATTGCTTGAGCCCAGGAGTTTGAGACCAGCCTGGGCAACATAGTGAAACCCTGTCTTTGTGAAAAATACAAAGATTAGCTAGGCGCAGTGGCAAATGCCTGTAGTCCCAGCTACTTGGGGGGCTGAGGTAGGAGGATCACTTGAGCTCAGGTTGTTCAGGCTGCAATGAGCTGAGATCGTGCAACTGCACTCCGAACTGGGTGACAGGAGTAAAACTGTCTCAAAAAAAAAAAAAAAAAAAACCAAAAAAAAAAAAACTGTTTTAATTGTTTTATTTAGGAAGAGAAAGTCAGAACATGCAAGGAAATTTTTTTTATTTGTTTATTTTTGAGACGGAGTCTCGCTCAGTTGCCCAGGCTGGAGTGCAATGGTATGATCTTGGCTCACTGCAACCTCTGCCTCCCGGATTCAAGCGATTCTCCTGCCTCAGCCTCCTGAGCAGCTGGGATTACAGGTGTATGCCACCACGCCCAGCTAATTTTTGTGTTTTTAGTAGAGATGGGGTTCCACCATGTTGGCCAGGCTGGTTTCGAGCTCCTGACCTCAAGTGAACCGCCCTCCTTGGCCTCCCAAAGTGCTGGGATTACAGGTGTGAGCCGCGGTGACCGACCACAAGGAAATTTTAGTTAACACTGTTGGTTGATGGGAGTTGGGAGGTAGGATAAAAGGAGAAATTAAGGAAAACCTAGGCATGAAAAATAAAAGACCCTGAGCTCTTAGATTTGAAGAAATAGCAGTTCCATGTGAGGAATAAGTGGAAGAAATAGAATTCAGACCTCAGGTCTCAGGCTGGTGACTTAAATCTTTCAGTATCACATATATGAATATATCTATTATACTTAAATCCTCCTAAACATTTTTATTTTTCAGTTGGATATATTAAATATATAAAAATAATTATTTAATTTATTTTAGAGACAGTGTTTCACTCTCTTACCCAAGCTGGAGTGGAATGTGATCATAGCTCACTGCAGCCTCAAGGCTCATTCCTAGGCTTAAGTGATCCTCTTTTTTTTTTTTTTGCTAGAGATAGGATCTTGTTATGTTAGCCAGGCTGGAGAAATTTCAACAATATTTTGAACAATAAAAAAAAAATAAATTAGGTTTTATTGTAAAGTGGTATGTTTAAGTTTACGCCATTCTCCTGCGTAATGCATATTTCATACTCTTCCTACTGATAATGTTTCTGTTCACAACTTTTTCTTTATATTTTGATTTCTTTTCTCTTTTCTTTTTTTTTTTTTTTGAGACAGAGCCTCGCTTTGTCGCCCAGGCTAGAGTGCAGTGGCGCGATCTCGGCTCACTGCTAGCTCCGCCTCCCGGGTTCACGCCATTCTCCTGCCTCAGCTTCCCGAGTAGCTGGGACTACAGGCGCCCGCCACCATGCCCAGCTAATTTTTTGTATTTTTAGTAGAGACGGGGTTTCACTGTGTTAGCCAGGATGGTCTCGATCTCCTGACCTCGTGATCCACCCGCCTCGGCCTCCCAAAGTGCTGGGATTACAGGCGTGAGCCACCGCGCCCGGCACATATTTTGATTTCTAATGTGGACATCAGAATGGGCTGTTGACAGCTCTTTTTTTTTTTTTTGAGGCAGAGTCTCGCTTCTTCACCCAGGCTGGAGTGCAATGGCGCGATCTCAGCTCACTGCAACCTCCACCTCCCAGGTTCAAGCGATTCTCCTGCCTCAGCCTCCCCAGTAACTGGGATTACAGGCATGTGCCACCCCACACCCAGCCAATTTTTGTATTTTTAGTAGAGACAGCATTTCACCATGTTGGCCAGGCTGTTCTCGAACTCCTGGCCTCAAGTGATCCACTCGCCTTGGCCTCACAAACTGCTAGGATTACAGGTGTGAGCCACCGTGCCCAGCCTTGACAGGTCTTTAGTTTGATTTTAGTTCAACAACTGATGCCGTAATATGCCAAATTAAATTAGTTCAGACTGAAACGGATTACTTAAAGATTCATTTTCCTTTAAAAATGAAGTAAAACTTTAGCCGGATGTGGTGGCGGGTGTGTGTAATCCCAGCTACTCGGGAGGGTGAGGCAGGAGAATCGCTTGAACCCAGGAGGTGGAGGTTGCAGTGAGCTGAGATCTCACCCATTGCACTCCTGCCTGGGTGAGAAGAGTGAGACTCCATCAAAAAAAAAAAAAAAGGCTGGGCATGGTGGCTCAAGCCGGGTGCAGTGGCCCATGCCTGTTATCCCAGCACTTTGGGAGGCAGAGGCAGGCGGATCACTTGTAGTCAGAAGTTCGCGACCAGCCTGGCCAACATATTAGTGAAACCCCGTCTCTACTAAAAATACAAAAATTAGCTGGGCATAGTGGTGCACGCCTGTAGTCCCGGGTACTTGGGACGCTGACGCAGGACAATTGCTTGAACTCCAGAGGTGGAGATTGCGGTGGGCCAAGATCACGCCACTGCACGCCAGCCTGGGCAACAGAGCAAGACTCCATCTCTCAAAAAAAAAAAAAAAAGAAAACTGAGTTTATATTGTTATGGTTCTTATCTATCTTAAATTTTTTCTTTAGGAGATTGAATATTTTTGTACTTTAGTCTTAATCCAGTGGTTGAAAGAGAGTGCACTTTTGAAGTCTGCCTCTTGGCTGTCCTTGACAACACAAACCTTAGTTCCAAGAGAATGTAATTCTTCCTCTTTCTCAGTGCTTCAAAATATATATGATCAAATAGAAACGAGTTGAATAGGCAGTCTCTTCAAAGGTTTCCTAACTCTGTGGTTAACTATCAAGGAGCTGGTAATATCATGCACTGCCATTCCCTTGGCAACATGACTTATCTTTTTTTTTTTTTTTTCTTTTTTGAGACAGAGTCTTGCTCTGTCACCCAGGCTGGAGTGCAGTGGCGAGATCTCAGCTCGCTGCAAGCCCCGCCTCCCACGTTCACGCCATTTTCCTGCCTCAGCCTCCCAAGTAGCTGGGACTACAGGCGCCTGCCATCACACCTGGCTAATTTTTTTTGTATTTTTTAGTAGAGACGGGGTTTCACCGTGTTAGCCAGTACGGTCTCGATCTCCTGTCCTCGTGATCCGCCCACCTTGGCCTCCCAAAGTGTTGGGATTACAGGTGTGAGCCACTGCGCCTGGCCTACTTATCTTCTAATTTAACTGAAAACCAATTTATTTGATTCAGTGAAATGGCATCAAACTGTAGTAGTGTTAATTGAAATATTTGGTACCTTGAAATGTTAAATGCCAAATTAAATCTCATTTTAATGAAATCTCGTGTAAATGTGTTTTATATGGTGACTATGTTTATTCTGAATTTTATTCTTATGGCATACTAAAAAAAAAAAAAATTTTTTTTTTTTTTTGTAATGGAGTCTTGCTCTGTCACCCACGCTGGAGTGCAGTGGCGCAATCTCGGTTCACTGTAACCTCCACCTCCCGGGTTCAAGCGATTCTCCTGCCTCAGTCTCCCGAGTAGCTGGTACTACAGGCGTGCACCACTATGCCTGGCTAATATTTTTGTATTTTTAGGAGAGACAGGGTTTCACCATGTTGGTCAGGCTGATCTCGAACTCCTGACCTGAAGTGATCCGCCTGCCTCAGCCTCCCAAAGTGCTGGGATTACAGGTATGACCCACTGCACCCAACCCATACTCAAATTTGACACTGAATTTTCATAAAGGCCTTAATTTATCTGAAACCAAACTATTTCAAAAGAGGAATAGCACAGCAAATTCTGTTGACTTAATGAGAGGATATGTGAAGTCTATTTATTAAAGCAAATATTAATTGGAGGCCAGTTAATTTGTACAGCTCTGCATTTTAGATATTTGAGAAATATTTATTTCCTCTCCAGTGAGATGTGTTAAAACATTAGTTATGTGATTAACAAATATGTGTACATACGTATATATGTACATACACATTTTGAGACAGGGCCTTGGTCTGTTGTTCAGGCTGGAGTGCAATGACACCATCTTAGCTCATTGAAGCTTCAGCCTCGCAGGCTCAATCGATCCACCCACCTCAGCCTCCCTAGTAGCTGGGTCTACAGACATATACCACCATGCTTGGCTGATTTTTTAATTTTTTGTAGAGATGGTGATCTTGCCCTGTTGACTAAGTTGGTAAATATTTTAATTGTTGAACTTTCTTGGAAGACTGAAAACCTGTGATAGCCATTTTATATAAGGAGAAGCTGAAGTTCAAAGAGTAGACTCATAGCAGAAACAAAAATAGAATTTAAGTGAATGGACTCAAAATATTGTACTTTTTACTTTATACTGCAGGTTTTTATGTTGTAATGCTGGTAATGAGCTCCTTGGAATATTTGGAGGAAAAGAGAAGGTTGTAATAATGGTTCTTTGGATTTACTAGAACATATCATGTTCTGCATGGCTCCTGTGGGTAGACAAGCCGGAAATCTCCTGGGTAACACAATGGTGGAGGTTCTCTAGGTGACGTTTGATTTCTCAAGTACATAGGACTAAACAGAAAAGGCCTAGTATGTTATATGAATGAGAGATCAAGTTTCTCAGGATATTCTAGGGCTAAAGGATCAGGCATCGAAGACAGAAATTGTCTAAATAAAATTTTTTCTATTCATAGTTTTAAAGGGCTAAAGGGTCAGGCATTGAAGACAGAAATTGTCTAAGTAAAATATTTTTCTGTTCATAGTTTTAAGCTGTGTATATGTGCATGTGTGTATTTAAAATAACTTCGTCAATGAAAAGAGTCAAACTCTGTAAAATATTTGAAGAGATTTATTCTGAGCCAAATATGAGTGACCAGTGGCCCATGACACAGCCCCAGTAGATACTAAGAACATCTGTCCAAGGTGGTCAGGCTATAGCTTGATTTTATACACTTTAGGGAGACATAAGACGTCAGTTAAACATGTAAGATGTACATTGGTTCCATCTGGAAAGGCAGGAAAACTAGAAGTTGGGGAGGCTTCCAGGTCGTAGGCAGATTCAAAGATTTTCTGATTGGCAATTGGTCAAAAGAGCTTATCTAAAGTCCTGGAATCCATAGAAGGGAGTGTCTGGTTTAAAATAATAGGTTGTAGCTACCAAGGTTTTTATTGTACAGATGAAGCCTCCAGGTAGCAGGCTTCAGAGAGAATACATTGTAAATGTTTCTTATGAGACTTTAAAAGGTGGCAGACTCTTAAGTTAATTTTCTCCTGGTTCAGGTAAAAGACTTGGAAAGGGAAAGGATTCTCTACAGAACGTAAATTTTCCCCACAAGAGAAAGCTTTGCAGGGCCATTTCAGAATATGTCAAAGAAATATAATTTAGGGTAAAATACTTCAATTTGTTTTATTTATTTATTTATTTTTTGAGACAGAGTCTCGCTCTGTTGCCCAGGCTGGAGTGCAGTGGCATGATCTCGGCTCACTGCAAGCTCCGCCTCCTGTGTTCACGCCGTTCTCCTGCCTCAGCCTCCTGAGTAGCTGGGACTACAGGCGCTGGCCACCATGCCCAGCTATTTTTTTTGTATTTTTAGTAGAGACGGGATTTCACCATGTTGGCCAGGATGGTCTCGATCTCTTGACCTCGTGATTCACCCGCCTCGGCCTCCCAAAGTGCTGGGATTACAGGCGTGAGCCACTGTGCCCGGCCTCAAAATACTTCAATTTCTTTCATGGCCTGCTATCTGACGTGATGCTGTACTAGAGTCAGGCTGGGAATTTGGCGTCTTATTGCTACAAAACATCTTAATATCTCTGTTTTAATGTTAATGCTGATCAGTTGTCCCTGAATTCCAAAGGGAAGAGGGTATATGAGTCATGTCCAACCCCCACTTCTCATTATGGCCTGAACTAGTTTTTTAGGTTAACTTTGGAATGCCTTTGGCAAGGGGAGGGTCCATGAGTCAGTTGGGGGTCTTAGAGTTTTATTTTTTGCTTACCGGTTTATAAAAAGTTAATGAAAATTATCATATTTCATAATTCTATATAATTCAATATTGTACTTTATTTAAAACTCACGTATAAAATAGCTGTCCATATCTGTTTTCAGAAGATGAGGATGGAGGGTAGAAATCAGAAGTGTCAGATTTGGTAATTTTCTTACACTGCTGAAAACCTATACCTACCACTTTGAAAGGATTAATTTCAGACTTGCTTTCTTTGGGCCTAATGATTCTACTTTGAAGTTTCTCTGATTAAACTAAGGAATAAATCTGATAAATGGACATTCAGATGATACCATACTTTTCCAAAAGATAACATTGCTTTTGATTACATATGCAATAAACATTTCACATTTTTTCTCAAGATTATTTACTGGCATCTGCACCAAAGACACAAAAAAGCAGCCACTGTTAAGGACTTTATCCCTTGTTCTGTTTTTAGCTGGTTTGTTGTTGTATTTTTCCTCATGTTGAATACAGTTAAACCCTATTAAACTGGATTCCCCATATTACTGTTAGTTGTCCTGATGACAATTAAGGATAGTTAGTAAATGGATATTGAATCATTTTATTTTTTTAGTAGTGATGGCGTTTCGCTGTGTTGGCCAGGTTGGTCTCGAACTCCTGGCCTCAAGTGATCTGCCTGTGTTGGCCCCTCAAAGTGTTAGGATTACAGGCGTGAGCCACTGCACCTGGCTGGATATTGAATTATTGAAGAAGGATGTTCCCTAACACTTCCTGCCTCTTTTCCGCTGTCTTACTCTCTCTGTTCCACCCAGTAGTAGTTGGGTTTTTGATGTCTGGCAAAGTATAGATTGTCTACTCTTCTATATTAGTTTTCTTCACTCTTTTTTTTAAAAATGTTTTTAAAGCAAGATAGAGACAGGGTCTTGCCGTATTGCCCAGGCTGGTCTTGAACTCCTGAGCTCAAGCAATCCTCCCACCTCACCCCATAAAGTGCGGAGATTACAGGCATGAGCCACCATGCCTGGCCAGTTTTCTTCACTCTTGACCTATAATAGTCCTGCAAAGCCAGTGAAGCTGTTAATATGCTGACGTAGCCTTTTTTTCTCTCGTTTGTGAATTATTAACAATCGCTGATCTTACACATCATATACAATAAAACATCTTTGAACACTGTCACATCTCAGCAGCTCATTCTGGTTAATGAGGAAAGAAAAATGTCAAAATCTGTGATTTTCTTAGAGGTTATTAAATGTTTTACAGCTATGTAGATATTCTGTAGACTTGCTGTACTTACTTACATAACTTTTCTGCTCTTCTGCAGAGGGAGAGAATTAACTTCATAAGTGGGCTTTGTCAATGCCCTCCAGTCAGCGATCTCCAGGAACAAACTTATCTATGGTTGAGCAAGTGGGGTTTATTACCCACTGTAGCCAGGGAGAACACACATATGTAATAACCATGGTATGTCATAGTAAAGGGTGTTAGGAAGATAGGATTTGGGCTCGTTTATTTGGTGATTTTAAGGAGGGTTTAAAGAAGCAGGGTTTTGCTCTGATTTGGATGCTACCAGGAGCTGCGAATAATTCTATGAATAAATATCATAAAACCTATCTAGAAGAAAAGACTAGAGTGAGGTCTAAAGCTGTAGTAGTTAAAAAGCAAAGGTCACTCCTTATCTGGAAAAGGGGAATATTTGGTATTTCATGGTTTAGACAGTGTTCAGTGTTCATGTTTTGCCTGTGTTTAGACATAATTGTAGAGTGGTCTTGTTCCACCGTGGTCACAGAGTGGCATTATTTCATGCTGATATTCTGTAAGTGCCAGGTCAAATACCAAGGTTTAGCTGATAGTAGTAGGCCAGCTCCTGGATGTAATAAGCTGTTTTTCTCTTTCTCAGCTTTTTTTTTTGTTGTTTTTTTTTTAAAATAGAGTCTGGCTCTGTCACCCAGGCTGGAGTTCAGTGGGGGCAATCTCAGCTCACTGCAGCCTCTGCCTCCTGGATTCAAGCGACTCTCCTGCCTCAGCCTCCCAACTAGCTGGAATTACAGGCGCAAGTCACCACACCCGGCTAATTTTTGTATTTTTAGTAGAGACGGGGTTTCACCATGTTGAGCAGGCTGGTCTCGAACTCCGGACCTCAAGCAATCCATCTGCCTCAGCCTCCCAAAGTGCTGAGATTACAGGCATGAGTCACTGCACCTGGCCTGTTTCTTAGATTTGAGGGTCAACTTTTACCCTTTTCGAACTGTGGGGCTTCTTATGGAAATTGACATTTAAGTCCTGACCATATAGGATCTTGGGCAAGTTACTTAACTATGTATGCTGAGATGTTTTTTTAAATGCTTAGTGCTTGCACATAATAGGTACTCAGTAAATGAGAACTATTATTATAAAATCAATAGTACTTTTAAGATTACAGCTAGAGGTTATGTTAGAACATTGTTAACTCTTCGTACTAGTTTCTGTTACACTTTTTAGGATGCAGTAGCAGCATAAACGAGATATGGGGAAGAACGAGAGGTATTTAAACAGTGATATAGGCCGGGCGTGGTGGCTCACGCTTGTAATCCCAGCACTTTGGGAGGCTGAGGTGGGCAGATTACGAGGTCAGGAGATTGAGACCATCCTGGCTAACACGGTGAAACCCCATCTCTACTAAAAATACAAAAACAAAATTAGCCGGGCGTGGTAGTGGGCGCCTGTAATCCCAGCTATTTGGGAGGCTGAGGCAGGAGAGTGGCGAGAACCCAGGAGACAGAGCTTGCAGTGAGCCGAGATCGCGCCACTGCACCCCAGCCTGGGCCACAGAGCGAGACTCTGTCTCAAAAAAAAAAAAAAAAAAAAATTAAAACAAAAATATTTGTGTTAATTGTGATGACAAAAAAAAAAAAAGAGATGGAAGTCTCTCCCTAACCTCACTCCTCATTTAGTGTCATGGCTTTTTTCTTTTTTTTTTTTTTTTTTTTGAGACAAAGCCTCACTCTGTCACCCAGGCTGGACTGCAGTGGTGCAATCTCAGCTCACTGCAGGCTCTGCCTCCCAGATTCAAGCAATTCTCCTGCCTCAGCCTCACAAGTAGATGGGACTACAGGCACATGGCACCATGCCCAGCTAATTTTTTGTGTAGTTTTTAGTAGAGACAGGGTTTCACTATGTTGGCCAGGCTGGTCTCGAACTCCTGAGCTCAAGTGATCCCCCCTCCTTGGCCTCCCAAAGTGCTGGGATTACAGGCGTGAGCCCTGCTCCCAGACTCCTGGCTTTTTTTTTTTTTTTTAATGAAAAATTCAAAATGCTCTTTTTTTTTTTTTTTTTTTTTTGAGACAGAGTCTCGCTCTGTCGCCCAGGCTGAAGTGCAGTGGTGTGATCTCGGCTCACTGCAACCTCTGCCTCCCAGGTTGAAGTGATTCTCCTGCCTCAGCCTCTCGAACAGCTGAGATTACAGGTACGCGCCACCACGCCTGGCTAATTTTTGTATTTTTAATAGAGATGGGGTTTTGTCATGTTGTCCAGGCTAGCCTTGAACTCCTCGCCTCGTGTGATCCACCTGCCTTGGCCTCCCAAAGTGCTAGGATTATAGGCGTGAGTCGCTGCACCTGGCCACAGAAATTTTTTGAAGAAGATAAATAAGGTGACATTTTTAAGGGTCAAAGAAAATGTCAAAAACTAGAATGATGTCTTTACATAGGGTTTAAAACTTTCCAAATTAACAGGGAAAATAATTCTTTACCTTGAAAATAAATGTTTGCTAGTGAAAGCAAATACAATCTTTTTACTAAATGTTTTATTAAATTTTTTTTTCTTGTAGACACAGGGTCCTACTGTATTACCCAGGCTGGTCTTGAATGCCTGGCCTCAAGCAATCCTCCTACCTCAGTCTTCCAAAGTGCTGGGACTACAGACATGAGCCATCACACTGGGTCTTTTTTACCAAATTATAGTAGAAAGCACTTTTTCTCTAATGGTGAACTATGAGAGAATTAATCAGGGGCTATTAGTAATTCATCCCTGAATTAATCAGTGATTATAATGCTTTGTGGTCCATGTAGTTTGCTGGGGATTAACACACCATGAAAGTCTACCAGGAGATTTTTTTTTTTCTTTGAGAACAGGGGCCATAATCAGTAGTCCTTAAATGAAATGGACTATTCCCATTTCATTATATGTTGCCTAGGCTGGACTCGAGCTCCTTGGCTTAAGTGATCTTCCCACTTCAGACTCTCAAGCAGCTGGGACTATAGGTGTGTGCCACCATACCTGGCTTAATTGAGTGTTTGTTTTTTGTTTTTTTTTCTGAGACAGAGTCTCGTTGTGTCGCCCAGGCTAGAGTGCAGTGGCACAATCTCGGCTCACTGCAACCTCTGTTTCCCAGGTTCAAACGATTCTCCTGCCTCAGCCTCCCAAGTAGCTGGAATTACAGGCGCCTGCCACCATGCCTGGCTAATTTTTGTATTTTTAGTAGAGATGGGGTTTCACCATCTTGGCCAGGCTGATCTCGAACTCTTGACCTCATGATCCACACACCTTGGCCTCCCAAAGTGCTGGGATTATAGGCGTGAGCCACCGCGCCCGGCTTTAATTGAGATTTTTAGATATCTATTACTCTGCTAATTTTGTCACTTGCAAGTTGCCATCAGAAAATTGTAGGAAAATGGATATATTTGTTCCTTGGAATGGTTTGTGTGAGAATACTTAAGGATTAAATAGATAAGTAAAACTGGTGGGCTTTATATAACATAGATGAGCAAATGTCAGGAACATACAACTGTGCACACAGTTCAGGAGAAGGAGGATTTAAGTTAATCAACAAATTTACTAAGTATAATAAAGATACTAAAAGTAGTGTTTCCATACCACTTTATTACTTAAAGTATCATCATATACCCTATTTTATATGATTTTTGCCACAAGTCAGAGTTAGGTAAAAGAAATACTTGCTTTTCAGGTAAGGAGTTTGACGCCCAGACAGATTAACTGACTTTTCCAAAATCATATTGCTATTAAATGGTGGAACAAGGACTTAAATCTTTGCCTTCTAACTCACATACTTGCAAACACATATCCTCTCACTCTACCCCAAGCTACCCATGTTTTGACCCTTCTTGTGGCAATCTGGGTCTCACTAATATTTGAAAGAAAACGTACAGTAGATAATTTGCAAGTTAATCTGTTACGCATATCTCTTACCTCTATTTAAAGATGAATATCAGCATTTCTGTTGTTTCTACAGTAACATACTAAAAAATAATGCAGTCCAGGTGCAGTGGCTCACACGTGTAATCCTAGCACTTTTGGAAGTTGAGGCAGGAGGATCACTTGAAGCCAGGAGTTCGAGACTAGCCTGGGTATGCAAGACCCCATTTCTGTTTTTTTTTTTTGTTTGTTTTGTTTTGTTTTGTTTTGTTTTTTTGAGACGGAGTCTCGCTCTGTCGCCCAGGCTGGAGTGCAGTGGCGGGATCTCGGCTCACTGCAAGCTCCGCCTCCCGGGTTCACGCCATTCTCCTGCCTCAGCCTCCCAAGTAGCTGGGACTACAGGCGCCCGCCACTACGCCCGGCTAATTTTTTGTATTTTTAGTAGAGACGGGGTTTCACCGTTTTAGCCGGGATGGTCTCGATCTCCTGACCTCGTGATCCCCATTTCTTTTTCACTGCAACCTTTGCCTCCCAGGTTCAAGTGATTGTCGTGCCTCAGCCTCCCAAGTAGCTTGGGATTACAGGCATGTGCCACCATGCCTGGCTAATTTTTGTATTTTTTGGTAGAGATGGAGTTTCTGGCCAAGCTGGCCAGGCTGGTCTCGAACGCCTAGCCTCAAGTGATCTACCCTCCTTAGCCTCCCAAAGTGCTGGGATTACAGGTGTGAGCCACTGTGCCCGGCCCCATTTCTACAACAATTAAAAAATATTAGCCCAGTGTAGTGGTGCATGTCTCTAGTCCCAGCTACTCAGAAGGCTGAAGTGAAAGGATTGCTTGAGCCCAGAATTTCAAGGCTACAGTGAGCTATGATAATGGCATTGCACTCCAGCTTGGGTGACAGAGTGAGACCCTGTCTCTAAAAAATGAAGTAAAATAGTGCACAAGTATAGAACTTGAAAATCTTCCTTAACCTTACCATAAGGGAAATGATTACTAATAAGTTTCTTAACTTTTTGTACTTACATAAACATAAATATTCATCAGAGAAAAAAATATGCAAAACAATTTGCAATCTTTTTCACTTACCATATTTTGGAATTTTTTTCATTTCAATATATTTGATCTTCCTTGTGTTTTTTCAGTTTGTTTGTTTTTGTCACCCAGGTTGGAGTGAAGTGGTAAGAACATGGCTTATTGCAGCCTCAATCTCCTGCTCCCATTCAGCCCCTCAAGTAGCTGGGACTACAGGTACATGTCACCACGCCCGGCTAATTTTTATTTTTATTTTGGTAGAGATGGGGTTTCACCATGTTGCCCAGGCTGATCTTGAATTCCTGGGCTCAAGTGACCCGCCCACCTCAGCCTCCCGAAGTGTTGAGAGAACAGGTGTGAACCACCATGCTCCACCTCTTAGTCTTTACAATCTGCAAAACCTCATAAGTGGCTAATAGAGGAATATAGTAAAGCAAAGGGGGATATCACTGATTAGAACTGTGTTTTTAGGCTGGGTGCGGTGGCTCACGCCTGTAATCGCAACATTTTGGGAGGCTAAGTGGGAGTATCACTTGAGCCCGGGAGTTCAAGACCAGCCTGGGCAATATAGTGAGAGACCCTGTCTTTAGAAAAAAATTAACCAGGTGTGGTGGTGCACACCTGTGGTCCCAGCTATTCAAGAGGCTGAGGTGGGAGAATCGCTTAAGCCTAGGAGGCGGAGGTTGCAGTGAGATCATACCACTGCTCTCTAGCATGGGTGACAGAGCGAGACCCAGTCTAAAAAAAAAAGTATTTTTTCGTTTTTTTCCAACTCATGTACACCCGCCACCCCACCCCTGCTTTTTTTTTTTCTGACATTGGGTCTTGCTCTGTCACCCAGGCTAGAGTGCAGTAGCACAATCAACTCACTGCAGCCTCCTCTTCCTGGACTCAAGCAGTCCTACCACCTCAGCCTCCCAAGTAGCTGGGACCACAGGTGTGCACCATCATGCCTGGCTAATTTTTGTACTTTTTGTAGAGATAGGGTTTCACCATGTGGTTCACCATCTCTAACTCCTGGGCTCAGTCAGTCCACTTTTGCCTCGGCATGAGCCACTGTGTGCAGCCCACGTTTTTTATTAATGGATATTTGGATTGTTTCCATCTATTGTGAATAATGTGGCTATGAACATTGGTCTAAATATCTGTTTAAGTCCCGGCTTTCAATACTTTTGGATATATACCTAGGAGTAGAATTACTGAATTATATGGTAACTTTCTGTTTAAATTTTTGAACTGCCAACCTGTTTTCCATAGGGGCTGCACCATTTTGCATTCCCACCAGCAGTGTACAAGGGTTCCAGTTTCTCCACATTTGTTATTTTTCATTTTTTAAAATAATAGTCATCCTAAAGGGTATGAAGTGGTATCTCGTTGTGATTTTGATTTGCATGTATTTTTCTAATGACTTATGATGCTCAGCATTTTGTCATGTACTTATGTACCATTTGTGTATCTTCTTTGGAAAAATGTCTATTAATGTTCTTTTCCCATTTTTTAATTGGGTTGTTTTTATGTTTATCAATTTTGTAAACATTTTAAGCTCTGCAGCATAACTACTCAACCCTGTCACATGGTAAGATTGACCCAGTAAAACTTTATGTACAAAAATAGGCAGCTTACTAGATTTAATCTTAGTCCATAGTTTGCTAAGGCATGCATTAGATAATGTAGTTACACTATTGGCTAATAATTTAAACTACAAGTGGTTGTAAGTTTCTGCCACCCAAATTCTTTCTTGATTTGATGTAGTCTGGTTGGTTGAATTTGAGTGTTATATGGGGTCATAGAGTTAAAAGAGAAATGTCTATGAGAAACTAGGGACTGTTGGGAGCTAATGTTAAAGGATTTTGGAGGCCTTTTGTGCACTGGAGACCATTGGAAGATTGGATTTTCTGCTATAAATGTATCTAAAGGATAATCAGTGTAAGTTATGGGCTGTAGTTTGCCAACCCCTACATTAAGGGATTGAAATAATTTGAATATGGGTTTCAGTTCTTGTATGGTCTGGCTCAGTTCTTTTTTTTTTTTTTTTTTTTTTTTTTTTTGAGATGGAGTCTCACTCTGTTGCCCAAGCTGCAGTGCCATGGCACGATCTCAGCTCGCTGCAACCTCCGCCTCCTGGCTTCAAGTGATTCTCCTGCCTCAGCCTCCAGAGTAGCTAGGACTACAGGCACGTGCCACCACATCTGGCTAATTTTTTTTTTTTTCAAGACAGAGTTTCGCTCTTGTCACCCAGCCTGGAGTGCAATGGCACGATCTTGGCTCACCGCAGCCTCCGCCTCCTGGGTTCAAGTGATTCTCCTGCCTCAGCCTCCCAAATAGCTGAGGCAACAGGCGTGCGCCACCACGCCTAGCTAATTTTTCTGTTTTTAGTAGAGATGGGGTTTCACCATCTTGGCCAGGCTGGTCTCGAACTCCTGATCTCATGATCCACCCGCCTCAGCCTCCCAAAGTGCTGGGATTACAGGCGTGAGCCACCTCACCTGGCGTTTTTTTGTGTGTGTTTTCAGTAGAGATGGGGCTTCACTGTATTAGCCAGAATGGTCTTGATCTCCTGACCTCGTGATTCACCTGCCTCAGCCTCCCAAAGTGCTGGAATTATAGGCATGAGCCACCACGCCTGGCTGTGGCTCAGTTCTTAACTGTTCATTCATTCAGGGTCCCAGCCAAAATCTTTTGCCACAGCTTCTCCTGGGCATGCTCTGAAATTCATTTTTTGTCTGTTTAGTTGCATGAGTCCACTGAAAGCTTTGCTTATTTTCTCCACCACTTTCAGAGTTCACAGTCACTTCAAGTAGACGAGGTCAGGAGATCGAGACCATCCTGGCCAACATGGTGAAACCCCGTCTCTACTAAAAATACAAAACTTAGCTGGGCGTGGTAGCGTGTGCCTGTAGTCCCAGCTACTCAGGAGGCTGAGGCAGGAAAATTGCTTGAACCCGAGAGGCAGAGGTTGCAGTAAGCCGAGATCATACCATTTCACTCCAGCCTGGGCGACAGAGTGAGACACTGTCAAAAAAAAAAAAAAAAAAAAAAAGGAAAGAAAAGTGCTCCAAATGCTGGGCTCATCTCTGCTGGCTTCTCTCCTTTTTATATTTCGATAATTTTTAAAATAATAACCATCCTAATGGGCTTGATATGGTCCCTCCTTTCTAAATTTTGGTAATTTTCATTGTTTTGGAAACTCACTAATCCCTTCAAACAGATGTTTTTAAAACTTTTTTTCTAGTTCTCTCTCTTTTTTTTTTTTTTTTTTTTTTTGAGACAGGGTCTCTCTCAGTGGTGCGACCTCCCTTACTGCAACCTCTCCCTCCTGGGTTCAAGCAGCGATTCTCCTGCCTCAGCCTCCCAAATAGCTGGGAGTACAGGCACCCACCCCCACGCCCAGCTAATGTTTGTATTTTTAGTAGAGATTGGGTTTCATCATGTTGGCCAGGCTGGTCTCGAACTCCTGACCCCAGGTGATCCGCCTGCCTCAGCCTTCCAAAGTGCTGGGATTACAGCCATGAGCCACCGCACCTGGCTCTAGTTCTCTTCTAATCTTACTATAGTAATCAAAATTTTAGTGCTGATGTTATAATCCAAGCCCAAATGGATATTCTTATACATTAAATGTTGGAATATCATGTTTGTTAAAAATCAGATCTGCTGGGCACGGTGGCTCAATGCCTGTTATCCCAGCACTTTGGGAGGCCGAGGCAGGTGGATCCCCTGAGATCAGGAGTTCGAGACCAGCCTGACCAACATGGAGAAACTCCGTCTCTACTAAAAATACAAAATTAGCCGGGCGTGGTGGCACGTGCCTTTCATCCCAGCTACTTGGGAGGCTGAGGCAGAAGAATTGCTTGAACCTGTGAGGCGGAGGTTCCAGGGAGCTGAGATCGTGCCATTGTACTCCAGCCTGGGCAACAAGAGCGAAATTCCATCTCAAAAAAAAAAAATCAGATCTGTCCCTATGGTTTTATCTTCACTGCATGTCATATATAAATGGAAGCATGTAGTATGTAGCCTTTTGTGTCTCGCTTCTCTCCCTTTGCATAATATTTTTGAGATTTATCCCTTTTCCTACATATGTCAGTAGTTTGTTTCTTTTTAATGCTGAATAGTATTCCACGTGTGGAGATACCACAATTTGTTACTCCATTCACTAAATGATTTGGGTTGTTTCCTGTTTTTGTTATTGTTGTTGTTGTTGTTTAATTAATTAATTAATTTTTTTTTTGAGATGGAGTCTTGCTCTGTTGCCCAGGCTAGAGTGCAGTGGCGCAATCACAGCTCACTGCAACCTCTGCCTCCCCGGTTCAAGTGATTCTCCTGCCTCAGCCTCCCAAGTAGCTGTGATTACAGGTGCCCGCCACCACAACCAGCTAATTTTTGTATTTTTAGTAGAGATGGGATTTCACCATGTTGGCCAGGCTGGTCTTGAACTCTTCCCTCCTTGGTCTCCCAAAATGCTGGGATTACAGGTGTGAGCCACCATGCCCATCCTCCTGTTTTTAAATTTTATGAATAAAGGTACTGTAAATTCATGTACAGGTCTTAGAAGTTTGCATTTTTCTTGGGTAAATATGTAGAAGAAGAGATTGTTGACTCATGTGGTAAATATATGTTTAATGTCATAAGAAACTACCAAACTGTTTTTCCAACTGGGTGCCATTTTGTTTCCTACCAGCAAACATAATGAAAGGTCCATTACCCTTTGTCTCGTAATATTTTGGTATTTTTATGTTCTTTTGTTTTTTTGCCATTCAAAATTGGGTGCATTGTTGTATCTTTGGATTTTAATTTGTACTTCCCTAACAACTAATGATGTGGAGCATCTTTTTATACGCTTACTTGCCAATTATGTCTTAATTCTTTGGCAATACTTATATTTGACTCTGCCTACTATATATATATATATATATATTTTTATGCTATATATAGAGTATATATATTTTTATACTATATATATTTATATATACTATATATATTTATATATACTATATATATATATATATATATATATATTTTTTTTTTTTTTTGAGATGAAGTCATGCTCTGTTGACCAGGCTGGATGCAGTGGCATGATCTTGGCTTACCGCAACCTCAACCTCTGCCTCCCAGGTTCAAGTGATTCTCCTGCCTCAGCTTCCTGAGTAGCTGGGACTACAGACACATGCCACCATGCCCGGCTAATTTTTGTATTTTTAGTAGAGGTGGAGTTTCGCCATGTTGTCCAGGCTGGTCTTCAACTCCTGACCTCAGGTGATCCACCCGCTTCAGCCTCCCAAAAGTGCTGGGATTACAGGCATGACCCACCGTGCCCAGCTGGAATAAGCAATCTTAAAAAGCAGTTTGTTGATTTCTGGTGAATAGAGAAAATGTGACAAACTATGACTCAATAGTTTCATTTCTTTTTTGTTTGTTTGTTTGTTTTTTTGAGACAGAGTCTTGCTCTGTCACCCAGGCTGGCGTGCAGTGGCTCACTGCAAGCTCTGCTTCCTGGGTTCACGCCATTCTCCTGCCTCAGCCTCCGGAGTAGCTGGGACTACAGGCGCCCGCCACCATGCCTGGCTAATTTGTTTTTTGTATTTTTAGTAGAGACAGGGTTTCACTGTGTTAGCCAGGATGGTCTCGATCTCCTGACCTCGTGATCCACCCGTCTCGGCCTCCCAAAGTGCTGGGATTACAGGCATGAGCCACCGCCCCTGGCCTACTTTTATTTCTTAAGCATATATCTTAAAGAAACTGCAGGTATGCATTAGGGGACAGGTAGAAAAATGTTACAGCATTGTTTGAAATGTTGAAAAACTGGAAACAACCTCAATATCTTAATAATAGAAAAAATGGTTGAGGCTGGCTGTGGTGGTTCATGCCTGTAATCCTAGCACTTTTGGAGGCTGAGGCGGGCGGATCACCTGAGGTCGGGAGTTTGAGTCCAGCCTGGCCAACATGGTGAAACCCCGTCTCTACTAAAAATACAAAAAATTAGGCAGGTGTGGTGGTGCACACCTGTAATCCCAGCTACTTGGGAGGCTGAGGCACAAGAATCACTTGAGCCTGGGAAATGGAGGTTGTAGTGAGCCGAGATCATGCCTACTGCACTCCAGCCTGGGCAATAGAGTGAGACTCCGTCTCAAAAAAAAAAAAAAAAAAAAAAAGGGAAGGAGCATGGGAATGGGAAGAGGCACTAAAAAAGGAACTTCTTTTGTATCTGTTACATTGTACTCATTTTGTTTTTAAAATTTTAAGCCAAATATGACATTGTTATCACTTTTGTTGCCACTCAGAATACAAGTGCTATTACACTATTTTCTATAATTTTCCCTTTTTCAAACTAAAAAACAAAAATACATGTAAACAGGTGTTTTCTTTATGGAAAACAGGAAGGTGAGCATCCAAATAATTTTAGTTAATTTATAACAAACTCTTAATAATTTCTTTTTCTTCTTCTTCTTTTTTTTTTTTTTTTTTTGAGTCAGGGTCTTGCTCTTTTGCTCAGGTTAGAGTGCAATGGTACAATCTGGTACAATCACATCTTAGTGCAACTTCTACCTCTTCAGCTCAAGTGACCTCTCTCCTCAGTCCCCCAAGTAGATGGGACCACAGATGTGTATCCCCAATCATGGTTAATTTTTAAATTTTTTGGTAGAGATAAAATCTCACCATGTTGCCCAAGCTGGGCTTGAGCTCCTGGGCTCAAGCAGTCCTCCTGCCTTGGCCTCCCAAAGTGCTGGGATTATAGGCGTGAGCAAACTGTGCCCAGTCTTCATAAACTTTTCTTTACATGTCCTTATCAAGTACTTTTTGAGCACCTACTGTCAACCAGCCGTAGTATATAATACTGATAATTCTATAACATAAGAAATTGACCTGTTTAAGGGGATGAATATGGTTAGTTATTTTCAGGGTGAAGAAACAGAAGAATCGGGGAGGTAGTACATAGTCATAAGGAGACGGCATTTCTTAGTCACTTTGTGTGGTGTTTATAATAAGACTTCATGTGGCCAGGTGCGGTGGCTCGTGAGCGCCTGTAATCCCAGCACTTTGGGAGGCCGAGGTGGGAGGATCACAACAAGGTCAGGAGATCGAGACTATCCTGAACAACATGGTGAAACCCCGTCTCTACTAAAAATACAAAAATTAGCTGGGTGTGGTGGCACGTGCCTGTAACCCCAGCTACTCGGGAGGCTGAGGCAGGAGAATCGCTTGAACCAGGGAGTCGGAGGTTGCAGTGAACCAAGATCGTGCCACTGCACTGCAGCCTGGGCTACAGAGAGAGACTCCATCTAAATAAATAAATAAATAAATAAATAAATAGACTTCGTCTGTTTCATCAAGAGTCATTGTATTATATTGATTTTGAAATTTCAAATAATAATAAGGAATAGTATGGAAATTTTTGTTTGATTAAATGGGGACATGAGGCCAGGTGTGGTCACTCAGGCTTGTAATCCCAGCACTTCGGGAGACCAGGGCAGGAGGATTACTTGAGCCTAGGAGTTCAAGACCAGCCTGGGCAACATGGCAAGACCCTATCTCTACAAAAGAAATACACAAAAATTAGCTAAGTGTGGTGGCACATGCCTGTAGTCTTAGCTACTCGGGAGGCCAAGGGAAGAGGATGGATCACTTGAGCCCAGGAGTTGGAGGGTGCAGTGAGCTAGGATTGTGCCCCTGCACTCTAGTGTGGGTGACAGCAAGACTCTGTTTAAAAAAAAAAAAAAATGAGGCCGGGCGCGGTGGCTCACCTCTGTAATCTGAGCACTTTGAGAGGCCAAGGCGGGTGGATCACCTGAGTTCAAGATCAGCCTGGCCAACATGGTGAAAACCCCGTCTTTATACTTAAATTACAAAGATTAGCTGGGTGTGATGGTGCACACCTGTAACCCCAGCTACTCCAGAGGCTGAGACAGCAGAATCGCTTGAACCCGGGAGGGGGAGGTTGCAATGAGCCGAGATTGCACCACTGCACTCCAGCCTAGGTGACAGAGCAAGACTCTGTCTCAAAAAAAAAAGAAAAAAAGTCTAAGAAGTTAATTTTCATTCAGACAAATGTTCAAAAATAATAGAAATAAAACAAAAAATTAATTTTCAAATATGTGATTTGAGTATAACGATCACTTTACAGAAGTTATTCTACATACTTTTTGATTATGCTGAGTTTTTAGGTCCTTTTAAAGCTTAACTTGTATCAGGAATTAATGTTTTAAACTAGTTGTTGGGTTCAAAGAAAATAGAAATGTGTTATTAAATGCCACACTTGTAATCTCATACAGCAGTTCTCATGATGCAATCAATTGTTAAATAAAAACTTCCTCTAGAGAGGAGGTACCCAGCAATGAACACATTATATCAGATTTGAATATGAGATTAAACAATGCTTTTTGTTTCATTGTTATTGAAATCATATTTGTATTTTTCAAAAGTATATATACTTAAAAATTCCTAAATAAAATGTCTTTCTGTAATACAGCATTTTAGGTTATAAGGATCAATACCATGGGCTGATAAGCAAAATAGGACTCACGGCCCCAAAATGTTGATAAACATCATGACCATATTCCCCATAATGGAGTTACATATACACATTACAATGATAAAAATACTAAGAAGTTATATAGTAATGTTTCTCAGACTTGTTCACAACCCTGTTTTTTATGTATTACCTCTCAACAGCATGATTTGCAATATTTAGTGTACTCTTCATACGATCTATACAAATAATTTTTTATTTTAAAGCAGGACAGAAGGAGCAAGCTGTGGAATGGTATAAGAAAGGTATTGAAGAACTGGAAAAAGGAATAGCTGTTATAGTTACAGGACAAGGTAAGATTGTATTTGTTTATAGCCATCCCAAATTATGATATATTCACATGATTGTCCAGATTTCAGATCTATTTATTTATTTATTTATTTTTCTTTCTTTCTTTTCTTTTCTTTTCTTTTTTTTTTTTTTTTTTGAGACAGGGTCTTTCCTCTGTTACCCAGGCTGGAGTGCAGTGATGTGATCATAGCTCACTGCAACCTCAAACTTCTGGGCTCAAGTGATCCTCCTGCCTCTGCTTCCCATGTAGCTGGGACCACAGGCGCACACTACCATACTTAGCTAATTATTATTATTATTATTATTATTATTATTACTAGTTTTTGAGACAGAGTCTCGCTCTTTTGCCCAGGCTGTAGTGCAATGGTGCAATCTCGGCTCACTGCAATCTCCGCCTCCCGGATTCAGGCTATTTATTCTCCTGCCTGAGACTCCTGAGTAGCTGGGATTACAGGTGCATGCCACCGTGCCCAGCTAATTTTTGTATTTTTAGTGAAGATGGGGTTTTGCCACGTTGGCCAGGCTGGTTTCGAACTCCTGATCTCAAGTGATCTGCCCACCTCAGCCTCCCAAAGTGGTGGGAGTACAGGCATGAGCCACTGTGGGCCACACTTAGCTAATTAAAAAAAATTTTTTTGTAGAGACAGGGTCTCACTGTGTTTCTGTGACTGATCTTAAACTTCTGGCCTCAAGTGATCCTCCTGCCTCAGCTTTCCAAAGTTGTGGGATTACAGGCATGAGCCACTGTACCCAGCCAGATTGTATTTATCTTAATAAATGTATTTGGGCCAGGCACAGTGGCTCATGCCTGTAATCCCAGCACTTTGGGAGGCCGAGGTGGGCGAATCACCTGGGATCAGGAGTTCGAGACCAGCCTGATCAACATGGAGAAACCCTGTCTCTACTAAAAATTCAAAATTAGCCAGGCGTGGTGTCGCGCACCTGTAATTGCAGCTACTTGGGAGGCTGAGGCAGGAGAATTGCTTGGACCCAGGAGGCGGAGGTTGTGGTAAGCCAAGATCGCGCCATTGCACTCCAGCCTGGGCAACAAGAGTGAAACTCTGTCTCAGAAAGAAAGAAAAGCAAAACAGTATTTCATTTAATTAAAAATGCCTTGTATTATACCAGTAAGAGTAAAAAACAATTTAATTAAAGTATGATATATGCTCTTTTCATCACTTAGAATTTGAATTTTAATCTTATTGAAGAGGCTGTTTTAGTTTTATTTAGATATGGTTATAACAACAATATTAATATCTGTGACCAAATTGGTGCATGCATGGGCAATGAAAAGCTATGTTGTGACTGCAGCATGGTGGATAGCATTAGTAAGTTAGCATTGGTTGTAAAATGAATCCCAATTTCAAAGATTTTGAAACGTGGGGAAAAAATATTTTAGACCCCATGAAATAAGACCTGAAATCTATGAAATACCACAGTAGGTTGGAAATCATCATGAGAAACTGTAACTATTTTTTTTTATAGGTATTATATGTATTCTTTGAGACAGGGTCTCACCCTGTTGCCCAGGCTGGAATGCTGTGATGTGGTCACCTCTCACTGCAACATCCACTTCCTGGGGCTGAAGTGATCCTTGCAACTCACCCTCCCATGCTCGGCTAATTTTTTTTTTTTTTTTTTTAAGTAGAGACCAGATCTCTTTATGTTGCCCAGGCTGGTCTTGAACTCCTGGGCTCAAGTGATTCTGCTTTGTCTGCCCAGAGTGCTGGGATTACAGAAGTGAGCCACAACACCTGGCCTAAAGATAGTATTTTTAAAATTTCTTCTGTTTTCTTTCTTTTGGGTATACATTTTCTTCTTTTTTTTAAAAAAAAATTTCTGTATAAAGACTGTGACTCCCCATGAAAGTAGTTTGGGTGATAATTTATCGTGAAACAATATTAGTTGGGAAATGTAGATATTTTAATTAATTTTTTTCTTTCAGGTGAACAGTGTGAAAGAGCTAGACGCCTTCAAGCTAAAATGATGACTAATTTGGTTATGGCCAAGGACCGCTTACAACTTCTAGGTATCAATTAATGTATAATTTGATGTGGGATGTATTGGAAATGTGTGTTCAATGAAACTTTAATTTGTAGAAAGAAATAGATCAGTGATTGAAAATGTGGTCCAGGCTTTTTAACATAAAGAAAACGTATAACATATACAAAAACAGAAGAGCATAATGGACTTCTTTTTTTTTTTGAGATGGACGCTTGCTCTGTCACCCAGGCTGGAGTGCAGTGGCGTGATCTTGGCTCACTGCAAGCTCTACCTCCCAGGTTCACGCCATTCTCCTGCCTCAGCCTCCTGAGTAGCTGGGACTACAGGCACCCGCCACCACGCCCCGCTAATTTTTTTGTAGTTTTAGTAGAGACAGGGTTTCACCATGTTAGCCAGAATGGTGTCCATCTCCTGACCTCGTGATCCACCCGCCTCGGCCTCCCGAAGTGCTGGAGTTACAGGCGTGAGCCAACGCGCCCAGCCGAGCATAATGAACTTCTAATTATTCTTCTCTCAGCTTTGATAATTATCACCTCACTATCAGTCTTGATTTATTTATACCAAGGGCTAGCAAACTGCAGCTGATGGGCCAACCCAGCTCACTGCCTATTACTATAAATAAGGTTTTATTGGCACACAGCCATTCCTTTCCTTTAGGTATTGTCTATGGCTTTCATGCTACGGTGACAGAATTGAATAGTTGATACAGAGACAACACTGCCCTCAAAACCTAACATATTTACTGTCTGGCCCTGAGAAAGCCTGCCATCTTCACTTGACATCCCACTTCACTGTCCCCCAACTTCTTATTATTTTGAAACAAATTATTGACTTATTTTCCATTTATAAATATTTCATATTATACCTCTAAAAGATAAGGATGTCAAAATAAAATCACAGAAATACCATTATCACACCTAAAAAATAACTCCAAATTTCTTTTAACATTATCCAAAAAAACTGACCCCCCCAAAATGCAATTTCCAAATTTCTAATTTTCTCAAAATTTAATAATTTTTACTATTTTTTAATAATTTGTTTGTATCAGGATCTTAAAAAGATCCGTATGTCTCTTTTAATGTACAGGTTCATCTGTTTTTCATTTTCTTCCAATTTATTTGTTGATGAAACCAGGTCTTTGTCATGTAATATTTCCTACAGTCTGACTTTTGCTGCATGCATCTTTTGTGGTATGTTTTAACATGTTCTTCTTTCCTCCCACGTTAAATGATAGTTGGATATAGAGCCTTGATCACATTGAAAGTTGATTTTTATTTTTTAATGATTAGACTACTTCCTAGGTGGTTGTGTTTGTGTGTTCATCATTAGTTGTTCCATCTTGTGAGGTTAGCAGCAGTTAACTATGACTGATGTCCAGTGATACTTTAATTCTGTCATTCTTTCAGCATTCATCAACTGTAATAGAAACTTTTACTTGTCTTCTGTTTGATGGCGTAGGTTTTAAATATATATTAATAAGTTAAATCTACCACTCAAAAAAAGTAGAACAAAACCTACTACATATGAGTGGCTCTACCATACGTTGGTGGATGGAAATAGTAGATATTTGGTAAGCAGGTAAACCTTATTTATTTGTAGCCCTGTGACTTGGGGTAAGTTATTTTGCATGTCTGGGTCTTTTTTATCTAATTTGTAATATGAAGCTATTATTATTATTATTATTATTATTATTATTATTATTATTATTATTATTATTCGAGATGGAGTCTTGCTTTGTTGCCCAGGCTGGAGTGCAGTGGTGCAATCTCGGCTCAATGCACCCTCCACCTCCTGGGTTCAAACTATTCTCGTGATTCAGTCTCCCGAGTAGCTAGGATTACAGGGGCCTACCACCACACCTAATTTTTGTATTTTTAGTAGGGACGGGGTTTCACCATGTTGGCCAGGCTGGTCTCAAACTCCTGACATCAAGTGATCCATCCACCTCAGCCTCCCAAAGTGCTGGGATAGGCCGGGCACGGTGGCTAACGCCTGTAATCCCAGCACTTTGGGAGGCCGAGGCGGGTGGATCACGAGGTCAGGAGATTGAGACCATCCTGGCTAACACGGTGAAACCCCGTCTCTAGTAAAAAAATACAAAAAACTAGCCAGGTGTGGTGGCGGGCACCTGTAGTCCCAGCTACTTGGGAGGCTGAGGCAGGAGAATGGCATGAACCCAGGAGGCGGAGCTTGCAGTGAGCCGAGATCATGCCACTGCACTCCAGGCTGGGCAAAAGAGCGAGACTCTGTCTCAAAAAAATAAAATAAAATAAATAGATAAATAATAATAATAAAGTGCTGGGATTACAGGCATGAGCCACCACGCCCAGCTGAAGCTAATATTATTAGCTAATAATAATATCTCATATTTTTGACCATTGAATTATTAAAGGAACCTAAACCATAGTAGTAAGTGCTTTAAAAATGTTGGTTTTTATTTATCTGTTTACCTGACTGTCATCACCTCCTTTGCTTAGGTAGAAAGATATATTCATAAACACATACATATACATTTTATTCATTCTTTAATTCATTTACTCCTATATGGTCATTGTGTTTGTGGGATTTTTGCCCGCACATAGTTAAAAATGCAGCCGTTACTGCTTTCAGATGAGTAACAAGGTAGTGTTCCCTGGCTTCTGTGGCTGACAGGATTTGCCTTCTTCCTTTCTAAATGGAGGTTATTACTGTGTCAGATATAATTAAATAGTGTATTAAAGTTTGTTGCAATAAAATAATTGATGGTTCTAATTGGTACTTTCTACGTGTTTTATCTTTAAAGCTTTTCAGTGTATATATAAAGTATATATCATACAGAATAAATTTGATTGTGGAGCATTTTGTAACATCTTTCAAAATTAATAAGAGTTGGTTTTTATGTTTTGTTTGATGTTATGATATAGGACATTAGAAGTATTAATATCAATTAGAGACTCATCTTTGAATGTGACTTTGTACTTTCTTATTTGTGTTAGTAGAGGAGAGAACAAAAAGAAGATATGTAATGTAATATGAAACTAGGCATTTAAAGATTTAACGTTTTGGATATTTTAAAGTTGGTGTCTGTTTTCACCCTCAAAAATGCTATTACCTATTTATGAAATATCTTTAAAAGTGTGGAGTGGTAGATGGGAAAGGTGACATCGGCTGGGCGCGGTGGCTCACACCTATAATCCCAGCACTTTGGGAGGCCAAGGTGGGCGGATCACCTGAGGTCAGGAGTTCACGACCAGTCTGGTAACATGGTGAAACCTAATCTCTACTAAAAATACAAAAAATTAGCCAGGCTGGTGGTACGCACCTGTAATCCCAGCTACTCAGGAGGCTGAGTCAGGAGGATGGCTTGAACCCAGAAAATGGAGGTTGCATTGAGCCAAGATGGCACCACTGCACTCCAGACTGGGTGACAGAGAGAGACTCCGTCTCAAAAAAAAAAAAACGCCGGGCACTGTGGCTCACACCTGTAATCCTAGCACTTTGGGAGACTGAGGCGAGCAGATCACTTGAGGTCAGGAGTTCGAGACCAGCTGGGTGCCTGGGCAACATAGTGAAACCCCGTCTCTACTAAAAATACAAAAAAATTAGCCGGGCGTAGTGGCGGGCGCCTGTAGTCCCAGCTACTTGGGAGGCTGAGGAAGGAGAATGGCGTGAACCCGGGAGGCGGAGCTTGCAGTGAGCCGAGATCCCGCCACTGCACTCCAGCCTGGGTGACAGAGCGAGACTCCGTCTCAAAAAAAAAAAAAAAAAAAAAAATAGCCGGGCATGGTGGCGGGCACCTCTAATCTCACCTACTTGGGAGGTTGAGGCATGAGAATTGCTCGAGCCTGGGAGGCAGAGGTTGCAGTAAGCAGAGACCACACCACTGCACTCTAGCCTGGATGACAGAGTGAGACTTTGTCTCAAAACAAAAACAAACAAACCAAACCACCTCTTGTCCACTCCTAATCTCCCTTACTGTGTTTCACTTATTTTTTTCCCATATATTTGTCACCTTCTAATAAACTGTGTAACTTATTTTTTATGTTTATTGTGTACTATCTGTCTTCTCCCTGTTGGAATATAAACTCTATGGAGGAGGGATCCTTGTCTATATCCCAAGTGCCTACAACAGTGTCTAGCACATGCTAGTTACCGAATAAATATTTGCCAAGTTAATGAAGTTGTTTATAACCCTTGGCACTATACCTGATACAGTGTAGGGACTTAATAAATGAATGTTAAATGAAGCTATCTTAAAAATATATATATATATATAACAGCCAGATACGCCAATTTGCCGACATCAAAATTAATCTTTTCATCTATTGCAGGTTTTACAGTTAAGCTTTGCTCTAAGGTTCACTATCACTAAACCAAAAATAAATAATATGGATGGTCTTTTCCCATTTTTAACAGAGAGGCTACATCCTCTCAAACCAGTCAGTATTAGGAATTCCCAGGATCATTCTCTCCATTTTCCATCCTAATTAGATACCTATCTGGCACCACATCTCTGAAAAGCTCCAATTTTTAACCAGCACATAATAAACAAATATGTTACTATTAATACACGTTTGTACACAAGTCATTTTTATTGTCTTAGGTATATCCACTCCCAGACCTTCTGAGTTATTGAAAGACAGGAATTTGTGATGTCACCTCTTTTTTCTTTTTTTTGAGACGGAGTCTTGCCTTATCACCCAGGCCAGAGTGCAATGGCGTGATCTCGGCTCACTGCAACCTCTGCCTCCCGGGTTCAAGCGATTATCCTGCCTCATCCTCCTGAGTAGCTGGGATTACAGGTGGCCCTAGTTTGGGTTTTTGGTTTTAAACAGGATGGTCTCCTCTTTGAGAAGTTGCCATGAGTTAGCCATGATGATACCTGGGACAATAATGGTCCACAGAGAAGTAAGAGCCAATACAACGCCTTAAGAGAAAGTACCTGGTATGTTTGTGAAGCAGCAAAGAGGCCAATGTGTTCCAGCAAGGAGATTATAGTAGAGATGAAGTCAGAGAACTCATGCGGAGAGGGATTGTCACAACACGCAGGGCTGTAAAGGCCACCATGAGGACTTGAGCTTTTACCGCCTGTGAAATGGGGAGCAGTTACAAAGATTTTTAAGAAAGCAGCCCAGTGCAGTGGCTCATGCCTATAATCCCAGCTCTTTGGGAGGCTGAGGTGGGTGGATCACCTGAGGTCAGGAGTTCGAGACCAGCCTGGCCAACATGGCGAAACCTTGTCTTTACTAAAAATAGAAAAATTAGCTGCGTGTGGTGGCCATGCTTGTAATCCCAAATACTCGGGAGGCTGAGGCAGAAGAATCACTTGAACCCGGGAGGCGGAGGTTGCAGTGAGCCGAGGTTGCGCCACTGCCCTCCAGCCTGGGCAACAAAGCGAGACTCCGTCTCAAAGCCAGAAAAAAAGATTTTTAGGAAAGGAATGAAATACTCTGACTTAAATTTTAGAAGGATCACTCTGGTTGCTATGTTGCATTATAGACTCTAAGGGTAGAACCAGGGAGAGCAATTAGGACACTGTTACAGTAATCTAGGAGAAAAGTGATAGAGGCTTGCACCAGGGTAGTATCAGGAGAAATGGTAACAAGTGGTTGGATTATGATTATAGTTGAAGGTCGAACAACTAGATTTGCTGATAGATTGGATAAAATGGTCCTCTCTTTATGGATCTCATAATACAGTAGGAGAAACAGACACATAAATAGTCATCACTGCAGGATGGGTATTAGAAATATTTTGCAAGGGTGTAAAAGGTGCTAAGAAAGCTTTCTTGTGTGACAAAGCTGGTTAAAGAAAGAAAAGAAAGCTTCCTAGAAGTGAAACCTAAAATATACACTTAGATAAATGAATAAAAGTTATGAAAGAATGTGAGGGCTGGGCACAGTGGCTCATACCTGTAATCCTAGCACTTTGGGAGGTTGAGTCGGGGGTATTGCTTGAGTCCAGGAGTTTGAAACCAGCCTGGACAGCGTACTGAGACCCCATGTCTAAATTTAAAAAAAAAAAAAATAGCCAGGAGTGGTGATGTGCACCTGTAGTCCTAGCTACTTACTTGGGAGGCTGAGGCAGGAGGATTGCTTGAGCTCAGGAGGTCGAGACTGCAGTGAGCCATGAGTACACCACTGCACTCTAGTCTGGGTGACAGAGTGAGACCCTGTCTCAAAGAAAATGAAAAGAAAAAGAATTTGAGAAAAGATATGTCAGGAAAATGTGATGACATGAACAAATACTCAAAGGCAAGAAAAGCATGGTGAGTAGGGGAGGGTACAGGTTGAGACATGAAGTTGGGATTGCCGAGGCGTAAGAGGTATAGGCAGATCATGGATGGCCTGGTTTGTCATAGGAAGGAGCTTGGGCTCTTATCTGTGGGCAATGGGAAGCCACTAAAGGGTTTTAAGTAGAAGAGTGTTATATGGTAAGGTTTTCCTCTCCAGTAGATCACTCAGATGACTGTGGGGGTTGGATGTGAGGAGGTAAAGCAGCAAAGTTACTGCTTTAATTTAAATCATTGATTAATCTGTACAATCCTAGTCATTCCAAAAAGAAACATTAGTCCTTTAACAGAAGTGAATTGGGTCTGGGCGCGGTGGCTCACGCCTGTAATCCCAGTACTTTGGGAGGCCGAGGCGGGCAGATCACCTGAGGTCAGGAGTTTGAGACAAGTCTGGCCAACATGGCAAAACCTTGTATCTACTAAAATTACAAAAATTAGCTGGGCATGGGGGCACCCACCTGTAATCCCAGCTATTCGGGAGGCTGAGGCAGGAGACTCTCTTGAACCCATAAGGCAGAGGTTGCAATGAGCTGAGGTCGCACCACTGCGCTCCAGCCTGGGCGACAGAGTGAGACTCCGTCTCCAAAAAAAAGAAAAAATATTGGAGCAGTTTCACAGATGCTGTTTACTGTTATACTGTATGTGTCTATGACTCCTCCTCCAAGAAAAAAAAAATGAATTGGAGCAGGTTCACAGAAGCAATGTACTGTTACACTGTATGTGTCTGTTTCTACACATATAAATCTGAATTCTGTGTACACGAAAAGAAATCCTATAGCTTTTTATTCCTAGCTATAAAAACTAAGAATATAATTTCTTTCTTTTTATTACATAATGAATGGTTCTGTTAACTTTTTGTTAAAATTTCATTGAGGGGAGTATTAATTCACATTTATGTACGGATGTCTACATTTACAAATCAGTGTATTTTTTGATTTATGCTTTTACTGAGACAAAGGGTTTCTGTCTCAGCATGGTCATTTAAAGAGTTTATCATTGAGAAAAATCAGATGACCAACCTGTTAGCTCAAAAAAAAAAAAACCTCCAAGGTATATTGTATCAGCCAGTTCTAGGATACAAAAGCCATGCAGTACTTTGTGTTTTGTGCCAAAAAGGGTAGCTGCTATTTGACCTGTCCCAAAGGCATGTGTGGTTGTACCGTAAACCAAGCATGGTACCTGTTTGTCAAACTTTAGAAATGAAAGTTTAAGAGAGTTAATATATAGGTGCTGCATTTTTTATGTATTCATTGACTTGCTGGTACAGAAGAAAAGAATCAATTATGATTCAGCACAATACTCCACTTGGGGAAGAGAGTGCAGCAGTAGTTTAGAGTGTCAGGGATCAAACTGCTACCTTCTTGGGCTTCAGTTGCTAGACTTAAGAGACCCAGATCTTGGGAGGGGTTTTTGTTGTTATTTGATGTGGGGGTAAGGTTGAAATACTCCCTTTTAATTGATTAATATAAAAAATAGGTAATGTAGACGTATGTCACAAAATTTTAACAAGTTTGAGTGTGAAAAGCATCCATCCCATTCTATGCCCTGGCTACCCATTTCCCCTCCCTAGAGGCGGCTGTTATTATCAGTTTCTCTGGGTCCTTTTTAGAGGTAATCTTTTTGTATGCAACTGTGCACATGTATGTTTACACAAATGGTAGGGTATTGTATATATATACAGTTACTGCAGTATGCTTATTTGACTTTGCTTTATTGCTTTTATTTTCTGCCTGACATATGTTAATGTGGCCAAATAGGGCATTTCCCAGACAATCCTTATAGTTTCATTCTGTGCTACTTTAAATGCTGTTCTCCTTCCCTGAAATGTCCTTTTTTTTTTTCTTTTCTTTTTTTTTTTTTGAGACAGAGTCTCGCTCTGTCACCCAGGCTGGAGTGCAGTGGCACAATCTCAGCTCACTGCAACCTCCACCTCCCCGGTTTAAGCCATTCCCCTGCCTCAGCTTCCCGAGTAGTTGGGACTACAGGCGCGTGCCACCACGCCCGGATACTTTTTTGTTTGTTTGTTTTAGTAGAGACAGGGTTTCACTGTGTTAGCCAGGATCGCCTCAATCTCCTGACCTCCTGATCTGCCTGCCTCAGCCTCCCAAAGTGCTGGGATTACAGACGTGAGCCACTGCGCCTGGCTGTCCTTTCTTTTAATCTTTTCAAATTCTAGCCAGTTCATAGCCCACTTGCTCTGTAAAGCTTTTTCAGTGATCTTTCTTTTGTACCATGCAGTCTTTTAAAAAATCTACAGTTTTATTATAAGTTGCTAATTATATTTAATAAATACCTAAATGGTAGAAATTGATTCATTTTTTAATCTCCGTAGTGCCAGGAACTGTGGCTCATGTCTGTAATCCCTGCACTTTGGGAGGCTAAGGCGGGAGGATCGCTTAAGGCCAGGAGCTTGAGCCCAGCCTGTGGAACATATTGAGACCCCGTCTCTACAAAAAATAAATTAGCTGGGCATAGTGGTGTCTGTATGTAGTGTCAACTACTCAGGAGACTGAGGCAGAAGGATAACTTGAGCTCAGGGAGTTGAGGCCACAGTGAGCCATGATGGTGCCACTGTACTTCAGCCTGGGTGACAGAGCAAGACCAAGACCGATAATTATCTCCATGGTATTTGTTTTGGACGTATTAGATATTCAGTAAATATTTTCTGGTGATGATAGTGATATCTAACTACCTCAGGTTACCTAACCTGAATAAGGCCTATTTTTAACATAGCCATTCACTTGTTAATTTCTGTTATTTTCGTGACTTCATTTTTACTAATTATATTTTAAAAGATAATTTTATATAAATGCAAAAACTTTTTATCATGTAACAATCTGGTAACACCTTGAGTAATTTGTCATTTCACATGCACATTTTATTTGTTCATTATCTTTTTTCTTTTTGTTTATTTTTTCTGTTTTTTACCTTCTCTGTTGCATAGAGAAGATGCAACCAGTTTTGCCATTTTCCAAGTCACAAACGGACGTCTATAATGACAGTACTAACTTGGCATGCCGCAATGGACATCTCCAGTCAGGTGGGTTTAGGTTAACTAACATAAAATAATAAAGCTTGCATGCAAAGTAAGAGTCTTACTTAACCTGATAATGTTGATTTGATTTTATAATGGTAGGTTTAATTGTTCATGTTTTCACAGGGCTGTGTTGAAAATATAGTACCTTTATCATCATAGTATATAAACATGCAACAAGTCAGGTATAGTCATTCTAAACTTGCTTTATTTGCATATTTTGCAACCTCTGGTTTTTCAGATTATAAAATATGAAGGTATACATTCCCGTAAGTGATTAAAATAATCTTTTTTTCTGTTGTGGCTTTTGTGTTTTTATATGGATAGCTATACTGATTTTTTTCATGAAATAGTGTTTTCTAAGACACATTTTAATTTTTTATGTATCAATTTTTATTGCATATCAATTTTCATTTATAGTATATGTGAATGTCTTATAGTACTTGATAGAAGAAATTTGAAACTTCACATAGTGAGGAGAAACATTACAGTATTATTTGCTATGGATTAACTCTATCCTTCATAAACTTTTGGATATCAACTTCTACAGAAGATTAAATGTCTTTCTGTTTTGTTTTCTTTGGGTAGGGGACTCTCCATTTCTTAGGTTCTCTGACATCTGAGCTAGCTTTTTGTTTAATTAAAACTTTTTTTTTAGTTGACAGATAATGTACCTGTTCATGGGGTACACAGTGATGTTTTGATACATATAGTATATGGTGATTAGATCAAGGTAATTATCATTTCCATCATCCCAAACATTTATCATTCCTTGTGTTGGAAACATTCAGTATTTTCCTTCTAGCATTTGAAATGATATAATATATTATATTGTTACCTATAATCATCCTGCAGTGATGTAGAACAATGGAGCTTACTCTTTCTATCTAGCTATACCTTTGTATCCTTTCCCTACCCTTTTCAGCCTCTAGTATCCTCTGTTCTACTTTTTATTTCTATGAGATTAACTTTTTAAAAATAATATTCTGTGTGTATATATACCACATTTTCTTTATTCATTCGTCTGTTCTTGGACACCTAGGTTGATTCTGTATCTTGGCTGTTGTGAATAGTGCTGCAGTAAACATGGGGTGTAGATGTCTGTTCGATATGATGATTTTCTTTCCTTTGGATAAATTCCCAATAGTGGGATTGGTGGGTCATATGGTAGTTCTGTTTGTAGTTTTTGAGGAACCTCCATACTCTTCTCCATAGTAGCTGTACTAGTTTAGATTCCCAAAAGTAGCGTATAAGAGTTCACTTTCTACACATCCTCACCAGCATTTGGTACTTTTTTTGTCTTTTTGATAATAGCCATCCTAACTGGGGTAAGATACCTTGTTGTGGTTTTGATTTGCATTTCCCTCATAATTAACGATGTTGAGCATTTTTTCATATCTTTGTTTTTGACGGTCCAGCTAGTTTTATTGGTTACTTTTTTTTTTTTTTTTTAGCAATAGTTTCATGTGCAGGGCTCAAATTATATTTAATATTACTTTTTTCAAATTATACCAGAACAACCTTAGGTTAGGCTATAAAACAACTGCCTTCTTTTTCTTTTGGCATAATAATTATATATATATTTTTAATTACACTTTACGTTCTAGGGTGCATGTGCACAACATGCAGGTTTGTTACATATGTATACAAGTGCCATGTTGGTGTGCCGCACCCATTAACTTGTCATTTACATTAGGTATATCTCCTAATGCTACCCCTCCCCTCTCCCCTCACCCCACGACAGGCCCCATTGTGTGATGTTCCCCACCCTGTGTCCAAGTGTTCTCATTGTTCAGTTCCCATCTGTGAGTGAGAACATACGGTGTTTGGTTTTCTGTCCTTGCGATAGTTTGCTCAGAATGATGGTTTCCAGCTTCATCCATGTCCCTACAAAGGACATGAACTCATCCTTTTTGATGGCTGCTTAGTATTCCATGGTGTATATGTGCCATATTTTCTTAGTCCAGTCTATCATTGATGGACATTTGCATTGATTCCAAGTCTTTGCTATTGTGAATAGTGCCACAGTAAACATACATGTGCATGTGTCTTTATAGCAGCATGATTTATAATCCTTTGGGTATATACCCAGTAATGGGATGGCTGGGTCAAATGGTATTTCTAGTTCTAGATCCTTGAGGAATCGCCACACTGTCTTCCACAATGGTTGAACTAGTTTACGTTCCCATCAACAGTGTAAAAGTGTTCCTGTTTCTCCACATCCTCTCCAGCACCTGTTGTTTCCTGAGTTTTTAATGATCGCCATTCTAACTGGTGTGAGACGGTATCTCATTGTGGTTTTGATTTGCATTTCTCTGATGGCCAGTGATGATGAGCATTTTTTCATGTGTCTTTTGGCTGCATAAATGTCTTCTTTTGAGAAGCATCTGTTCATATACTTTGCCCACTTTTTGATGGGGTTGTTTGATTTTTTTCTTGTAAATTTTTTTAAGTTCTTTGTAGATTCTGGATATCAGCCCTTTGTCAGATGGGTAGATTGCAAAAATTTTCTCCCATTCTATAGGTTGCCTGTTCACTCTGATGGTAGTTTCTTTTGCTGTGCAGAAACTCTTTAGTTTAATTAGATCCCATTTGTCAATTTTGGCTTTTGTTGCCATTGCTTTTGGTGTTTTAGGCATGAAGTCCTTGCCCATGCCAGTGCCCATGCCAGTGTCCTGAATGGTATTGCCTAGATTTTCTTCTAGGGTTTTTATAGTTTTAGAACTAACATTTAAGTCTTTAATCCATCTTGAATTAATTTTTGTATAAGGTGTAAGGAAGGGATCCAGTTTCAGCTTTGTACGTTTGGCTAGCCAGTTTTCCCAGCACCATTTATTAAATAGGAAATCCTTTCCCCATTTATTGTTTTTGTCAGGTTTGTCAAAGATCACATGGTTGTAGATGTGTGGTATTATTTCTGAGGGCTCTGTTCTGTTCCATTGGTCTATATCTCTGTTTTGGTATCAGTACCATGCTGTTTTGATTACTGTACCTTCGTAGTATAGTTTGAAGTCAGGTAGCACGATGCCTCCAGCTTTGTTCTTTTGGCTTAGGATTGTCTTGGCAATGCAGGCTCTTTTTTGGTTCCATATGAACTTTAAAGTAGTTTTTTCCAATTCTGTGAAGAAAGTCATTTGTAGCTTGATGGGGATGGCATTGAATCTATAAATTACCTTGGGCAGTGTGGCCATTTTCATGATATTGATTCTTCCTATCCATAAGCATGGAATGTTCTTCCATTTGTCTGTGTCCTCTTTTATTTCATTGAGCAGTGGTTTGTAGTTCTCCTTGAAGAGGTCCTTCACATCCCTTGTAAGTTGGATTCCTAGGTATTTTATTCTCTTTGAAGCAATTGTGAATGGGAGTTCACTCATGATTTGGCTGTTTGTCTGTTATTGGTGTATAGGAATGCTTGTGATTTTTGCACATTGATTTTGTATCCTGAGACTTTGCTGAAGTTGCTTATCAGCTTAAGGAGATTTTGGGCTGAGATGATGGGGTTTTCTAAATATACAATCATGTCATCTCCAAACAGGGACAATTTGACTTTCTTTTCCTAATTGGATACCCTTTATTTCTTTCTCCTGCCTGATTGCCCTGGCCAGAACTTCCAACACTATGTTGAACAGGAGTGGTGAGAGAGGGCATCCCTGTCTTGTGCTAGCTTTCAAAGGGAATGCTTCCAGTTTTTGCCCATTCAGTATGATATTGGCTGTGGGTTTGTCATAAATAGCTCTTATTATTTTGAGATACATCCCATCAATACCTAGTTTATTGAGAGTTTTTAGCATGAAGGGCTGTTGAATTTTGTCAAAGGCCTTTTCTGCATCTATTGAGATAATCATGTGGTTTTTGTCTTTGGTTCTGTTTATATGATGGATTACGTTTATTGATTTGCATATGTTGAACCAGCCTTGCATCCCAGGGATGAAGCCAACTTGATTGCGTTGGATAAGCTTTTTGATGTGCTGCTGGATTCGGTTTGCCAGTATTTTATTGAGGATTTTTGCGTTGATGTTCATCAGGGATATTGGTCTAAAATTCTCTTTGTTGTGTCTCTGCCAGGCTTTGGTATCAGGATGATGCTGGCCTCATAAAATGAGTTAGGGAGGATTCCCTCTTTTTCTATTGATTGGAATCATTTCAGAAGGAATGGTACCAGCTCCTCTTTGTACCTCTGGTAGAATTCAGCTGTGAATCCATCTGGTCCTGGACTTTTTTTGGTTAGTAGGCTATTAATTATTGCCTCAATTTCAGAGCCTGTTATTGGTCTATTCAGGGATTCAGCTTCTTCCTGGTTTAGCCTTGGGAGGCTGTATGTGTCCAGGGATTTATCCATTTCTTCTAGATTTTCTAGTTTATTTGAGTAGAGGTGTTTATAGTATTCTCTGATGGTAGTTTGCATTTCTGTGGAATCGGTGGTGATATCCCCTTTATCATTTCTTATTGCATCTATTTGATTCTTCTCTCTTTTCTTCTTTATTAGTCTTGGT